>NT_187660.1:4997716-5161414 GCF_000001405.40 Homo sapiens
AAAAGAATTTGGAAATATAGGAAACAAACAAACATATCAGAGAAAGAAAATATATATTCTCAATTGATAAACGTCTCAGTAAAATTTTTGAAAACTTTATCTTTTCCTCTTTCTCATTATCATGCATATGCTCCCTAAGGAGTTATTGGGAGCCCCAGTAAATACCAAGTGCTGCCAAAGTCTACTGAGGAAAGACACAAGTGTAAGATGGGAAAGTGAGTCATGTCCTCTGATGTTCTTGCCTAGTCTTGACTCTGTAGAA
Organism: Homo sapiens; assembly: GCF_000001405.40. NCBI lineage: Eukaryota > Metazoa > Chordata > Mammalia > Primates > Hominidae > Homo > Homo sapiens. Next base: position 4,997,979 of record NT_187660.1, read on the forward strand.
GTTGACTGTAACCTGGCCGGGTGTGGTGGCTCACGCCTGTAATCCCAGCACTTTGGGAGGCCGAGGTGAGTGGATCATGAAGTCAGATCGAAACCATCCTGGCTAACACAGTGAATCCCCATCTCGACTAAAAATACAAAAAATTAGCCAGATGTGGTGGTGGGCGCCTGTAGTCCCAGCTACTCAGGAGGCTGAGGCAGGAGAATGGCGTGAACCCGGGGTCGGGGGAGCTTGCAGTGAGCTGAGATTGTGCCACTGCACTCCAGCCTGGGCGACAGAGCGAGACTCTGTCTCAAAAAAAAAAAAAAAAAAAAAAAAAAAAAAAGTAGTTGAAGTGGCGTGGCTTTCCATTTAGAGATTTAGGCTCCCCACTGTTATAGCCTCATCTTTTGGGAAAGCCTATGGGCATACTGTGGGCTTTCTACAGGTTAGAGGCATACAGCTGCAGCTAAATCAAGTCAATTTTCAGAATCTAGCCATCTGTGAGACTGAGGAAGTACCAAGTCTTTATTCTTTTGACATTCAGTATTTCACTGGTTTGTGTTGTACAAGGCAGAAGATACTGAAATCATTATGAAGTTTGTAATAACAGAAGTGCTTTTATTTTTGACCACAGGGATTGAGCACACCAGCCAATCAAGAGATAAATGAGATATGGAGGAAATGGGGCAGATAAGAGTGTTCAGGCTGCTTTACACTCCTTTTCACTATTGGAAAATCCAATAGTTTGGAGCAGTGTTTGTAAACTATTTTTCAAAGAGCTTTAACCTTCAGCAAAGGTGTTTCAGGGAGAAGAGGCAGAATTAGGGGATCCTCCAGATGCCAATGTTGGCAAGCTCTGCTTCAGTTAGAAAAGCTTTACTTTGTTTTATACATTGATGATTTATGTATGTTTTTAGACAAAAAGAGGTCTGCTTTTTTTTTTTTAACAGAACTTTTTGAAGCTCCTAGGGGGAAAAACAAAACAAAACAAAACAAAACAAACCTTCCTCTTCAGGAGAAAGACAACAGAAGCCAACAGAAAGCTTCTTCCTAAAGAACTGTCTATGAATATCTTAGAGGTAGACAACTGATTTAAGAAGACCAAGGGGATGATTCTTCTGACAGCCATAACCACAAGATTTCAGATTTTGGGCTCCAGTAAAACATCAAATCTACAAAAATCACAACATGGCCAGCTTTCCCACTCTCTTCTGCTTATTACTTTCCAGGTAAGTTCTAAGCCTGTGAGATCACCAGTGTCTGGCAAATACAGACAGGCACAGTGGGGACAGATCCAGATGAACCAGACTGTGGAAATAAGTGGGGCACCCATTTATTTCCCTCTCATAAAGGCAGAGATTGCCTCACATTTCATTATGATTCATTTTATTTATGGTCTTTTCTGGAATTTTGCTTGAGTTCCCTGATTTCTGCCCTATGCAACTTTCCAATGTCTATTTGCCTCCTTTGCTTTTAATAGCTTCAGAATGAAAATTAAATAGAGCTATCTTATTACACCTTGCCTATGGCTTCTCCCAACTTAATTCTGTGACTGCAATTAACTTTTTTTGGAGGGGGGTTCATCTGCTCATCCTCGTTTCCTTTCTTTCCCATTCAACGTATCTGTGTGAACTGTAACAAGACTGTCAACCTGTTAACTTTTGAGTAACTCTTAAGTATGATGCTAGGGGGGTGTGTGTGTGTGTGTATACGTACGTGTGTGTGTGTGTGTGTGTGTGTGTGTGTGTGTGTGTGTATATATATATATATATATTTTTTTTTTTTTTGTAGAGATGAGGTTTCACCATGTTGCCCAGGCTGGTCTCAAACTCCTGAACTCAAGCAATCCACCTGCCTCAGCCTCCCAAAGTATTAGGATTACAGGTGTAAGCCATCAAGCCCAGACAAAGGCTAAGTTATATTTATAATGAAAAAAAGGAATTTAGGCTGATGACTGGCGTCTGGACACAACAGGTCTCAAATCATGGTTCAGGTTTGGGTTTACACTCTAACCTATGGAATTAATTTTAGTGTTTAAAAATAGGTAACTGGCCCCTGAAAATTAGCGTTATCTTTTAAACACCTATGGGTGATATGTTAGAAATTCTCCTAAATAATATGATTGGTTCATTTCAGTCAGTACAGAAAATACAATCTGGTAATACTATCAGGGCATTTTTGTTAATACATTACTTGCTTTTGTATTGTAGACAACAGGACCAAGAAGTGACTTCAGGAGCAGAGGAATAAACTTTTGGCCTCTAATGCTACTAGCTTTAAAAAGAAAGCCCTACCAGCTACCTAGTACAGTGTGACTAAAATTAATCACCGCTCGACTCAGATCATGTATGTTTCTTGATCCAAGCCATTAAAAGTTAATGGCTTTGGAAATATTGGCAGACAAAGGCAAAGAAAAGAGACACATTGAGGGAATATGGTTCATGAAAGGCATCTTGGGAAACACATGAGATCTGACCAGCTATAATATGAATCTCTTTAAAAAAAGATTTTAATATCACTCGTTGCTAAAGAAAGAAGATAAAAATGGTCTAAAAAATGGATACGGTATGCTCTGTGTGCCAACAGGTAATGTGCCTTTAAGTCAGCATGCCACAGGAAATGTCCACGTTCCCTAAAAAGTAGGATGATAAAAACTGAAGGTCCAAGCTGCTGCACCACTGGACTTACCCTAAATGTAAAGACAGGAGTTCAGAATCTCTCTAATAAATGCAAGAGCTCTTCATTCTCATGACTGTTCAGAAATACATGGACGAACATGATAAACAAAGGAACATGCAAAAAACACATTTTTACCACTGGCTCAGTCAATTCTGGCCTATGGTCCTTTGGAATGGTGAATAAGGTTTCCGTGGTATAAAAAAGGTATTGGCCCTCACTGTAGATCACACCTGTAAAATAAATGACTCACCAGTCTGACTACCCAATATAGCTTTGCTCTACCAGTCATTATCAGGGACAGCTTCTATGAGCAAATAATGACACTCTTATGGTCTCCCTTCAGAAGAAAAAGTCAGAAAAGGGGTATATAGAGCTTCAAGGATGAAATACAAAAAGGAGTGAATATTCACTCCTTTGCCATGATCTCCTTGCAGCTTTGAACTAAGTCACATCAGGCCAAGGCACAAGGAATAACATATAGACTTTGGGGCATCAGGGAAATGGCTTCCTTGCCTCAGAAAGCTCAATATCACATGGTTTATGGCATTTTGAATAGAGAAGATTGAGGGCAACGTTTTGATCTTTTTCTCATTAGGCTTACCTGAAACATAGATGGTATTAACGCCATAAGGGCTGTTTTAAATATGCTTTCAGAGGGATATGGCTGTGTCCAGCCATCCCTCCAACCACTGCCTGGTGGCCTGAACATCAGAAGTAAGGCTCTGTCCACTCTATATAGTTTGTTCAGGTCTTTTGATACTACTCGAGTCTATACAAGGTACAGCCCCCAGTTCCCAGAGCGAAATTGTTTCTCCAGGCGAAAACGGGCTAATGTCCAACTTTGATTCTAAATAAGTGAGATCGTAGAGACCTGACCAGGGCTGTGAGGACCACTCTCATTTCTATCCATCTTGACAACAGTCACTCACGAGGCATTTCTGAATTCCTGACATAACTATCGCACGAGGTTAACTGCTATAAAAGTCAATGAAATAAGTAAAGTCACTCCCTACTGTAAGAAAAAAACAACAACAAACTCATTAATTTCTCAATTTAAAGGGAAATTTTTTCCTTGCTGCAGCAGCTGATGAAAACATCATTGACTAGGCTATGTGGAATGTTTCCAAAGGGTAGAAAAATAAAACTAAGAGAAAAGAGCCATAAACAGTAAGAAAGAATGGGTAACCCCAAGTTCATTTATCCCAGGCAGGCCAACAAGGCCACATACTTAGACAGACACACTCTTCCATGCTCATTTTCTCTTCAGAGTCTGACCTTCAGCCCTGACCGCTCTGGCACCGACCACCTCCTGTGCCTCCCAGGTCAGTTTCACTAGCAGCCATGATAAAACAGACCAGCAGGAAAGTAAGAATACCAGCAGAAAGTAATCTTAGGCTTAGCTCCTAACACACCAGAATTTAGCCTTTAAAAGTTATTCCAGTTGGGCATGGTGGCTCACACCTGTAATTCCAGTGCTTTGGGAGGCTGAGGCAGGACTGCTTGAGGCTAGGAGTTCAAGGCCAGCCTGGGCAACACAGCAAGACCCTCTCAACTAAAAAATGCTTTTTAAAAAATGAGTTGGGCATGATGATGTGTGTCTGTAGTCCTAACTAGTCAGGAGGCTGAGGCAGGAGGATCACTTGATCCCAGGAATTGGAGGTTACTATGATGACACCACTGCATTCTAGCCTGGGCAAAAGAATGAGACCTTGTCTCTTAAAAAAAAAAAGTTATTCCATGATAAATTAGCATATCACTTCTACTTTGTCCAATTGTGTACTTTGTCAAATCTAAATCTGACAATTTTCCCTACTCTATTCCTAAGATATTTTCCTATTTAAAAGTAAAAAACTTCTCTTAGAGACTGCATGCATTTCACCAGCTACACAGATCAGCCACTTCATAGTTTTTGTGAGCTATCACTTGTAGTACCCAAACATACTTTGACTTCAAGTGATTAATTGCAGAACAAAGTCCTCTTCCGTTTGCAGAGCTTCTCCCCCAGGACACAGGGGAGTTGAAGTTGGGGAGCCCTGGACTTGCCCTGGAATGCATGATCAGTTAAAGCCAATCACTCTGCACTTAGTAGACATAACACCCAGAGCCGACCCGGCGATTTAGGTGCAGAGTGAAAGGTAACAGCATCGCATTCATTTCCTCATTTAGGGAGAGTAGTCTGGGAGACAGTTTGAAAACTGAAATCAGCCCTGTGTCATAAATTTGCAAATTTAATTGAAATGCATTAGTCTTTGGAAGACATTTCCAATCCCGATAATGAAGACATGCATGTGCTAGCAGATGCAAGCTCCCCCTTTTGGTTTTGAAACCTCTACCACCTACTGAGTCTCACCAAAAACTAGCACTGAGAGCCTGTTTGCATGGGTGACTGGAACAAAAGGGTGAGGAAACAGGGAAGATTGTCTGGAGTAAGGAGTCTCTCTGGCGCCCCTCAAATCATTCTACCCAGGCAGCCCCCTGTTGCATCTCTGCCCAAGGCAGGAGCTGTCAGGAGTCCCACAGATAAGTAATTTAGAAATATTCTAGGCTGAATGAAGGAGACATACTTTAGGTTTCCATTGTTCTCTGCCAAGCTAGGGAAATGGAGTGCGGACAGATGCTCTCTAAGGTTTTGATTTGAGCTCCAAAGAGGTTTGAGGCTTGGCATAGCCATGAATCCAAAGGATCTCCACTTCCTTCTTTTTTTCTAAACAAACTGAAAGTAATACAGTCAAGAACAGAGCTGGCGATTGTTTTATTCCATTAACTAATCTTTCTTGTTCTGAACATGTCTATTCTCTTTAACAAAGCTATTAAGATTTTAGATTCTTGGGCAAAAGCAACCCATATGGGATACATTTAGGGACTTCTACCACCAAAACCCAAATAAACAAGATTTTTCATCTATCAGCAGCAGACAGCAAATCTTGCAATCAATTTCAACATGGCAAAAGGAAACACAATGATTATTTATTTGTTCAACAAATACTAACTCAGCATCTACTATATATATGGAAAAACAAGGTGCTACAGAGAAAACAAAGTGGTACAAGACATTGTAATTATCTTCTAGGGGCCTATGATTTATCTAAAAGAGAAAGTGCCTATAACCAAATGAATAAAAAACCAAATCATTAAATGACAAAACTGAAGATACAGTAAACCCCCAAAATTCTGGAGATACGATAGCTCACACAGATTGGAGAAAGCTTCATGAAGGACACCGTATGTGATCAATAAATTTTTCCAGAATAGTTTCATAGTCTGTATATCACTTGAGACATAATATTTTTAGATTATACCATTATGTAAATATTATAGTAGTTTTAAAGTAGAGTCACACACTGCATAATGACATTTCGGTCAAAGACAGACCTCATATATGATGGTGGTCCCATAAGGTTATAATGGAGCTCAAAAATTCCTATTGCCTAGTGAAGTCATAGCCACCATAATGTTGTGGCACAACTACTTTATTATAAAAATAAATTTAGTGTAGCCTAAATGTACAGTGTTTATAACATCTACAGAAGGGTACAGTAATATTCTAGGCCTTCAGATTCACCCACCACTGACTCACTGACTCACCCAGAGCAATTTCCAATCCTGCAACCTCCATTCATGGTTAAGCGCCCTACACAGGTGTACCATTTTCTATCTTTTATACTGTATTTTTACTGTACCTTTTCTGTGTTTAGATATGTTTAGATACACAAATACCATTGTGTTACAATTATATTCAGTACAGTAACCTGCCGTACAGGTTTGCAGCCTAAGAACACTAGGTTATGCCATACAGCCTAGGTGTGAAGTAGGCTACACCATCTAGGTTTGTGTAAGTACACTCTATAATGCTCGCACAATGATGAAATCACCTAACAATGCGTTTCTCACAATGTATCCCGCTAGTTAAGTGACACATGATTCTACGTGTTTAAATTAAGTGCTGCAAATTTATATTATAGGAATGTGCAAATACACAAGAGACTGGAGTAGACCAAGCACTCAAAGGAGGAAGCACAGAAAAGAAGGCAGTTAGGCTGATCCCAGGAATAACACTGCATGATTCCTCCAAACGCATGTTCAGTCACCCAGGTCCGCCTCTTTATGTCTATGTAGCCAAATTCATCTGCTGTCAATGCCCAGCTCATTTTCTACTTAAAATCACAGGAAGTCAGGGTTGGAAGAGAACTGCAAGATCACCTGAGCCCAGGAGTTTCTAAACTTGGCTGAAGGATCACTAGGAAGGTGTCAATCTCTGATCTCCAAAGCCTACCTGGTACATGTAAACAAGAGGATGGTGAAGCCAAGGCATTTATTAAGGAAACTAAACACAAAATGTGTTCTTGCTCTGCCATCTCTGTGGGGAGTTTCTAAAACCACAGATTTCTAGACTCTACACTCTGGTATTCTGATTCAGTGGATCTGTTTACATTTTTACAATGACCTCCAGGTGACTTGGGAGATCTGCCAGGTTTGGGAGCTGCTGATCTCTAACACTGCCCTACTGGCTTCTGAATCTCCTCTAAAACTATCTGCTTAGGGTGGTCCTGATTATGGCTAAGTGTCTTCTCAAAGCTCCCTGTAGCTTCCACATTTCCTTTGGATCATTTCTTCCTCCAAACTCTTACACCAGCCAAGATCTTCAATGCTCTTTCAATATCCAGCTGTGCGCTGGAGAATGCACCATACAAGACACAGCAAAGAACAGGCTTGTGTCCTAGAAGTGGAAAGATACACATAAACTGCTAAAATAACAAGTTGGAATTAATTAAATACTAAAGGATCGTAAGAAGAAAATGCTGTCAGAGCCCACAGGAAAAGCTAATTCTTTTATTAAGGGAGATTTCAGAACATTTCTACAGAACCTGGTTTCTGGAGGCAGCCCTTGAAAGACGACTCTATTTTGATCAGCAGGAAATAATGGGGGGAATGCGGTATGAAGAAATTATCCAGTGAGAACACAAGGAAAGAAAGTGCAGGTGTGAGACAGTGAGTGGTCATAGTAGGTGCAGGGAGGGATGAGGCTATAGGAAATGAGGCTAAAGAGTGAGTTTAGGGCAGGTTCTCAGAGGGCCATGCTATAATTTGGGAGAGAATATGAAGTTCTTGAAAGAACTCAAGCTTTAGTGTAAAAAAAAAAAAAAAAGACCTAGGTTCTTATCCTCATTCTGTTTATTAATGAAACTATGACATTGAAAATTCATTTACTCTCTCATGCTTAGCTGTGAAATAGCAATAAACCTTTTTTTTTTTCCTTCAGGGCTGTTGTGACAACTTAATACATTAATAAATTAAAGTACCATCCATGGCTAATTATCTTTCCTTTATTTCATGAGCAATGGAAAACCACAGAATATGTTTAAAGAGATAACTATGATCTAAATTCTGTTTTGGAAAGATAATTGGATGCAATATTCAGGGACACTTCAAGAGGAAATAGAAAACCTCTAGGCAGAGAGAAGAGTTAGAAGGATGTTTCAATAATCCAAGTGAGAGATGATAGAGTCCTGAATCAGAGCAGAGACACCTCAAATACAGGGTAAAGAACAATCACCATTAAGGGGGCAAAACTATAAAGAGTCAGAAATAGATGAAAAATAAATCTTGTAGCAGTAAAAATAATTCTCATTCCAGCCTGCCTTTTGCTAATAGGAGGAGGATAGTGTTGCAATTGAAAGTTAGGGAGCCTAAGAGGAATAGGCCTTAGTTGAGATGGAATAATTTCCAACCGAGACATATTGAATTGCAGATGAAGGCTGGGTATACAGTTTAATGTGCAGTAGGAAATGTAGGTCTAAAACTTGGGAGGCCTTGGCAATGAGGTGATAGGTGAAGCTGTGAAAATAGTTGGGACTAACAAAACAGAGAATAGAGCAGAAAAGAGGAACACTGAGATTTACCTTGGGGAAGGCCCACACTTAAGGAACAGAAGAAACAGAGGAACTAAGGAGGGAGATGAAGAAGGGGAGTAGTCACCTTCGCAGAGAGACCCAATATATTATCAGAGCAACGAGGCATTTCGAGATGGAGGAAACTACCATTGGTGTCAAAAACTAGCAGTGGCACACTTTGGGAGGCCGAGGCGGGCAGATCACGAGGTCAGGAGATTGAGACCATCCTGGCTAACACAGTGAAACCCAGTCTCTACCAAAAAAAAAAAAAAAAAAAAATTAGCCGGGCGTGGTGGCAGACGCCTGTAGTCCCAGCTACTTGGGAGGCTGAGGCAGGAGAATGGCATGAACCCGGAAGGTGGAGCTTGTAGTGAGCCGAAATCGCGCCACTGCACTCCAGCCTGGGCGACAGAGCAAGACTCTGTCTCAAAACAAAATAAAACAAACAAACAAAAAAAAACCCAAAAAAACTAGCAGTGGCAAAGAATTAGTTAGAAGGAGTCATCTGATTTCAGTTAGGAAATGTGACACAGTCTAGTAACAATCTCAATATGCAGTTCTCCTGCTTCCTTTAGTAAAGGAAACCATGAGTCTTTAGCAGGGACATGGCTCCCAGCTAAGCCTACATTTCCTGGTCTCCCTTGTGTATGGCCATGAGACTAAGTTCTGTCCAATGGGATAAAGTGGAAGTGATGTGTGCACCTTCCGGCTCATGCTATTTAATATTAAAAGGAAAGGTTGTGCAGTCCCCTTCCCACTGGCAGGAACTCAGCAGCAATGGTAGCAGTAGACCTGACGTGTGCCCCCTTACACGTTGGGAATAAGGACCTTACCTTAAGGATGGCAACCACAAAAGAGAAGAAAACTGGGTTCCTGACATCCAAACTCCTTGCATTCAGATTGTTATACATGAGGAAAATTGATTTTTCCTTTGTTTAAGCAACAGTTATTTTGGCCTCTGTTATGGCAGCCAAGACGTTATCCTTACTGAGACAGGAAGGAGTGTGTGGTACGAAAAAGGAAATAAGGAAATGAACGTAAATCATTCTTTGAAAAGAAGTTAGAAGGGAAAAGGAGACGGAATGATGCTTTCAGAGAGAGGGCCAAGAGGTGTGTATAGTTTTTTAAACCAATGATCCTATAATTCTTACAGTTTTTTAGTTTATCCTCTCTCCTTATTCATGGCATATTTTTAATTTTGCAGATGTAGTTTTAAATTTATTGCTTGGGGAATAAGCAGTTTTTATTATTTGTGATTTCTTTTTTTCTTTTCTTTTTTTTTTAAAGACAGTCTCACTCTGTTGCCCAGGCTGGAGTGCAGTGGCGCGATCTCGGCTCACTGCAACCTTCGCCTCCCAGGCTTAAGTAATTTTCCTGCCTCAGCCTCCCGAGTAGCTGGGATTACAGGTGTGCACCACCACACCCAGCCAAGTTTTGTATTTTTTAGTAGAGATGAGGTTTCACCATGTTGGCCAGGCTGATCTTGAACGCCTGACCTCAGGTCATCCACCCACCTCCGCCTCCCAAAGTGCTGGGATTACAGGCATGAGCCACTACGCCCGGCTGTTCTTTGTGATTATGACAATGTTGTTTATCAGTTAGGTCTTGGGGCATTTACTGTTTGTGTATTTGCACAGAACCATTTTCAAATGTGATTTAGGAAAATTCAAAGTTTTGACAATTAATTAGGGGGTGATTGTATTATTAAGGGATTTTTAAAAATAAGCAGCTCTTTAGTGGTTAAATGAATACAAGTCATTTAACTACATAACACAGGGCAAGGAAAAGAAAGTTAACATGTTACAAGTTACTGAAATTATCATGTATGTATGTCAGTAGGAAAGCAGAATTCAATAAATAACAATTTTATTTATGGAGCTTTTTCTAGGAGTAAGTTTATCATGTAAAGAAAAGAATTCCTGTAGTGTCTACACTGCAGTCAGTGGCTTGTGGATTGAGTGACAGCATCTCTAAGTCCCCAACTCTTGGTCCTAAAGTGACCTGAGCAGTAGGGAGCTGTGAGAACAGCTTTCAGGATAGCCTCACAACAGCTTTGAACTATCTTCTGTAAAGGGTACAGCAGTTCCATAATCACCCATAACAGCAGCAAGTAACAGACTTAAAACAAAAACCCTATTGGTAGGTGGCTGGGTAATAAAAAAACAGCCCCCTCGCCCCCAAAAGAAAAAAACAAGATAACTATCCATTCCCCTATGGTGTAAATTATAGCTATGTGTGTAGTGAAATTTCTTATTTTCATTTCACATAAAATTCACCAAACTTCTAATTCACTCATTACTTACCCATTATGGGGTTTTTAAATGGCACTTTTAAAGTTTGCTTTGGCTCAGGGTGAATTATATGCCCAGACTTTATTCCTGGAGTCATGACTCCCGTAGGCCTTCTGTACCTTTTGCAAATTCAAAGCTCATTTTGTGGGAGGCAGTGCTTCGTGTGCATGCGCGGGCATATGTGGGGGCAGTCTTAGGATATCCTAAATGGTGGAATGTTTTGTAAGTAAGGGTCCTATCACCCAGAATAATTCAGCAGCCAAAAAAAATAAAAAATAAAAAAATAAAAAAGAGTAAAGAATAGCCAATAAAGGTATCAGCAAAAATTAGGTTACCTACTTGCAGTTATGCATATACTTGGATAATCTATTGATTTAACAGGTGGAAGAAACATGTGTACCAAAAATTCATTGAATGTTTGGATATCATGAGGTACAAATACAAAAGTGCATTAAAAGGTAAAAGTGAGGCAAAGTTGCTTCTGAGGATAAAATAAACCTTGGATTATGATACATCATAAATGCAATGTTGGATACAGATGAGCAGAGAAAAAAACGTTTTGTGTACATGCTCCATAAAAAAACGTGATCTTCAAGAACAACATTAGGATCAGGCGTGGTGGCTCATGCCTGTAATCCCAGCACTTTGGGAGGCCAAGGCAGGAGGATTGTTTGAGCCCAGGAGTTTGAGACCAGCCTGGGCAACATAGTGAGACACCGTCTCTACAAAAATAAAAAAATAAAATTAGCTAGGTATGGTGATGCACACCTGTAGTCCCAGCTACTCAGTAGGCTAAGGCAGGAGGATTGCTTGAGCCCAGGAGGTCAAGGCTGCAGTAAGCTATGATTGCGTCATGGCACTCTAGCCTGAATGACTCAAAAGAAAACAAAACAAAGGCCAACATTAGTATTTTATGAGAAGAACTGGGGGTTCAGGTGAGGCAAGGTAGCTATAGATGTTTACCGATTTCAAGAGGGCAATGAAAATTCTTTCTGGCACCTAATCTCTCTCCCAACTCACCTGCAAGTCCTTGCTTGAAATATCTTCCAATATAGTACCTATAGCTCAAGAGCAAAGGTGAGGGGCACTATGGCAGAAGGGAAACACACAGCTCCTCAGAAAATTAGAACCGCAGTTTCTAGATTCATAGAGATTTTGAGCTAGAAGAGCTCATAGTCACCATTTAATTCCTGCTTCGTCCTGATACATACATTTTACAGATGTGACAATCGGGTTCCCAGTGAATAAGTGACTGGCCCAAGATCACATAGCCAATTAATGGGGGTGGGGGGGTGGCAGGGTGAAGGGTAAAAATGCCTGTTTTCAGCTCTCTGTCTCCAGGTCTTTTTTTACACTGCTCAGCACTGCACATATTCAGAAGGGATAAGAGAAGGGACTGGGATGCTTCACTGAAAGATGAGTCCTGATACCAGGGGCAGCACGATGACTGAGTGGGTCACAGACTGCACGTCTAGAAAGTGGCGCTTTTGGATTTGTGCCTGGGCTCAGAAGTTTGCTCTTTTGCTTAAGATTGGCTTGAATGCCAAGGAAAATTGAAAGCCATTAATATACCACGACACAGTAGATTACTCTTCCAAAGATATAGTTAATCTCCAGGTAAACCATATTCCCCAGTGAAATATTGTTCCTTCTGCCGAACCACAGAGTTGTGCCCTGACACCAGTTTAATAAGATTATTGTTCACTCACAAGGCACAAGAACTTAGGACATTTTTATGTGGTCATTTGTATGTTAGAGATTATTCTGGATTTTATGAGGGGAAGCTGTTATCTTGTTATGAAGATGCATTCATCTCAATTTTGTATCAAACTAATGTGTACTCATGAAAACTACCTAAGCAGGAAAAGTAAATATTCACCACCACCTAAAATTAACCTCCAGTGGCCTAAGTAGTTTTCAACACTTCCATTTCATTTGGAAGTAGAATTTAAACAAAACAGTGTTTTCCATGAAACCTGTCCCTTTGAAAATGCTAGTACTGATTCTTAATTTTTCCAATGATTTTGAGCACTTAGTTGGCCTTCCAATATATTTAAAAATTAAGTGAGTTGAATTTTTCTGATGAGATCCCAAACTAGTTTTTTTCTTTATAATTACACATCATCAGGTTTTTATTTTGGTTATGAATTTTATTTTTTAGGATGCCCTTGTTAATGATGTTATGTTGTCTCCTGATGTTTAGTGTTGTTGGGATATATTCGGTTTCTGGGGAAAGTATAATTGAAACTATAATATCAAATATCATTAAATAGATGTCAAAACAAAGCAATTATAGTGTTCCTCATTTAATAGAAAAATTCCAGTTAATTTGCTTATTTTACCATAATGAATGTGTGATTCTAACAGGAAAGAAGCTAAAATCTTTAGCAGACAGAGAACACTTTAACAAAGTTCTCACTTTAGGATTTTAAGAAAACCCTGGATATCAAGCAGTTTGTTTAAATGGTTGAGGAGTAATATACATAATGTGCTAATATTTCTTAACACACAGATTTTCCTAACCATGCTGCTGCCTCCAGAAATATCTTATTAGCCATCATCAACTTTCAGAGATGTTGTTTTAGGGTAGAAACCTTGGTGATCCATCCTCACAGAGCATGGCTGGAATGAAGGGTCCCCTGAAACTGCGAAATGAGAAGAACCAAAAAGGGTCTTGTGAGGTCATGACCCTGTAAAGGGGTTGGTTTACAGAGTGTGAAGCAGGCAATTCAACAGCTGCACCCAGGAAGCAATGCCACAAACGCCCGTGGCTGGGAATCAGAGATACTGTCATTTTGAAGGACTTCTGGATACCACCTCTATGACAGACTCACAATTTCTTTGATCTAACTTCTATGATACAGAACACTCTTTAATGTGGAATACAGTTATTTCAACAGAAGATCATTAACATATAAAGCAATTAATTGCCTTCTCTGTTGGTCTTTTGTTTGTTTTAGACCATTTTTAGGGCCCCAAGGACAAATATACTAAGGACTGTGCTCAAAATCTGAGGTGTAAAAATTCTTAAGCAAAAGCTGTACATTCCAGGCCCACTGTGGGATGTCCCAGCCTCAAGGTGTATGGACCTGGAGGGCAGACTGGCCAGCTCCTATGCTGTTTTAAGAATAGTATTTTCGTATGAGAATTGATTCCACAGAAACTTATTTTAGCTTACTTTAAAGGGCTAAATAAGTGATGGCAGGGCAAGAGCTATGGGTTGGGTGCCAAGATTTTTAGGATTTTTTTTCATGTTATTATCAACGACCTATTTTCTCAACAATGGTACTTTTCTCTGCTTCAGTTTTATCTATATAATGGATATATTCAGTTTAATTCCCATGTTCCCAAAGAAGTACTGATGGGAAGATGTGTTGATAAACACATCTTTAACTTCCTTGGAAAGAAAGAAGGCCTTTCTCTTTTTTTAGCTCCCTGAGAAAATACTTAGAGACTAATACTAGGTCAAAAATCTCACAATTTTGCTCCTCTTACTAGTGTTTTAAGGTGAAATATATTAGGGTAGGTTGTGATGTGTCTAGAAATATATTATGTATATATCTTTTCTTTGATTACAAAGTGAAGAATAAAAATACTGAATTATGGAATGTCAGGCCTCACAGGTTAGTAAAAGGTAGATGCTATAATGAAATATATCATTTTCCTTACGCTGAGGAATTTTTTGTCTCCTTCCACTCTGTTTTGAATGCCATTCTTATACATCTGTTCCACAGGAGTAGTAGTAAGACCTGTTTGAAATTTAAATCCATGACACCCCTTCCATAACAGTGGCAACCCAATCACAAAAATGATCAGGCAGAAATGCTTTTTTCTGATAAATAGGGGCAAATTCAATCTCTCTAAGGAAAACGAACACACACACACACACACACACACACACACACACACCCCGTCTATATTCAGAGTTGAGGTTTTTCTTCTACCCCCAGCTAATAAAATCGGGGGCTGCAACGAGGCTGAGCGGCACGCAGTTTGATGTCCGCAGCAGGATACAGGGAGTCAGAAGTGGCGCTGTAAATCCAATGCGGGGCTTCCACGCTGTGTGAAGTGTGGCCTGAGTCACAGAGATTTTCCTTTGATGCAAGTTCAGTATATTAATGGGAAAAGCATTCACTTTTATTTGTCTATACTGTCTGCGACAGCAAGGCTGCCTCATTTAGCCTGGGCCAACATGAAAATACACAGAGAAGCAATCTGTTGCAAATTAGCACAACCCTCCTTTCATTTACTAGCTAGTAATTGGAAGGGGTTAAGAAAGTGTAACTTATCAGATCATGTGAGCATATCTGCCTGTGTGGACAGCAAGCTTTCCCCGAATTTCCCTACGATCCCTGAGGCAAAAAGTCCTTCCCCTATGACCACTTCATCCGAAAGAAAACATCGACAGGTGTGAAATAGACACACTTTGATAGGTTTAAGAGTGCAGTTTCCTAGGCTCCTGAAGGAGGCATTAAAATCTTTTTTTGAACCTTACCTTTCTTTAGATATGTTTTTACTCTCCCGTTTCCAAATTGTCTTGAAGTCACTGCAGAACTCATACCACACCATAAACACGTAGCTGGGTGTGATCTCCTTCTCACCAGACTTTGGCTTCATCCCAAAATATCGTACTGTTGTTTCAAAACTGCAACAGGTAGGGGGGAAAATGGAATGAGGTAGAGGTGAGAAATTGCCAACACTAAAATCCATTAGAGGGGGGATGCTGGGGGCAGTTTCTCTTGTGTTTATTTTGTAACACAGAAGCTGGGGGCTCATAGTTACTGAAGTTTATTGTAAACCTCAGAAAATCTATTTGCTCAAACTGATTTGCCAAAAAATGGAACTTGATTGGGATGCTCCTGGGCACATCTTATCTGTATAAAATCAGCATGTATAATTTCTGGGGGTGTGTAGGTAAAACGTCTCGAGTTTGTTCTTCATCTCAAATCCCCGTCTCTTCCCTGCTCTTCATTTTATGTTTAGTGATTACATGCAAGGCAGATGACACACTGACTGCAGCATTAGCAGCGGTCAGTTCGATAGCTCATTGGGAATAATTAATCTGTCAAATGTTTCACAAAAAAGCAAGAAAATCCATTCTATCCTTATTCGGGCATATACTGGCTTTGTAATCTTGGGTCAATCACTCAGCATCTTTGACTCTCAATTTTCTCAAGGGTAAAATAAGAGATGTAGATGATATGATCTTCAGGAGGGCTACCTTTTAAAGCTTAATATGATACAAGAATACAAACCACTGATGTACAAAAACAGATACAGTTGTAGGCATAGCAAGTTTTGGATGAAAAACCATTTCTGATCTTGGAAAAATGATCTCCAGTCTGGTCAGTAAAGAATCCCAATTTTCCAGAGTGGATTCCCAGATATCAGTAAGACCTATCCCAGCAAGGCTCACTGCACACCAGACTACCTGGGCCTCCCAAGCAGCCCTTCTTGGAGGCACTAGCTTTGCAGCAATTTACAGCTTTGAACTCAATCTTTCCCCCTCACCCCCACCTACCCCAAGCCTCACAAGCTCATTTGCCATGAGCAAGAACACTTAAATAAATGACCCCCTTTTCTAGGGTGTTGGAAACTAATCAAAGCAGGAATGGCTGGCCAGGTTTATTACTCAATGCTCTATCATCTGTTCAGACACAGTGGTTTTTTTTTTGTGTGTGGCCATCCTGAATACTGATTTTCTAATGGAACTCTATTCAATGGCGATTGTAAAACCCTGAAGCTCCGTTACTATTATGGAGCATACTTTCATCTCATTCTCGGTTATTGGGCAATATGTATCTCATAAGATTTTATCACATTTCACAGATGAACTGTTAATTGATTCCATGGGTACGATTAGGCGAGATCCAAGCTGGAGCTGCAGCTCTGAGTCCCATAAATTCTTTGTGCTTCTGTAAAGAATAAATCTGTTTTTAATGCAAATTAAAACTACTGGTCAGGGAATTTTGGCTCCCAGTTATTAAAAGACTGGAAATGTGTAAGTGGAGAAAGGCAATAACTGCAGTAATCTCTTAAGGGACTCTATTATAATTCCAAACATACATAATGTTGAGAAAAACCGGGAAGGGAAGAATGTGGCAATGTCCACTCTTGCCCCAGACATAACCCTTATTTCCATGGCAGTCCAAACACTGGTAAAACCAAATGTACACTCTATAGCATGTAACTTTATTTCACTCAAATGAAAATTATTTTGACTATAGCATGGGAATACATAAGTAGAGAGTTATATAACCTATAGGAACAGGCCATTCATTTCCTACAAAGTCACAGGACTTTAGAATGGGAAGGAATTTACAGGATGACTTGCCCAAATTATCATTTTATAGGTGACAAAACAGAGACCTGGAAAGACTGTGTGGCATTATTCCCTGGTAGGGTTGGGCCTGGAATTCAGGTCCCCTGATTTTCTGTGAAATGCTCTGTCTACTTTATCTTTCTGTTGCTCATGCTCAATAACACAGGCATTTAAGAGACAAAATAGTCGTTTTACCCCACCCTTTTCTACTTTAGACACAGGTGTCCTCCTCTGTATCACACATAACATGCATTACCCCAGGGAGGGCATGTGATTATTTTTTCTCTTTCTTATGCTTACCTTCTATACAGATACATATTTATTTGAGCATTCATGGGGAAGGGAAAGTCTTTCATTTCTAGTATTTAGAGGGACAACTTATCTTCTGATTTTCCAGCAAAATATAGTGAAGTCCAGTTATTGTGCTTCATGGAACACCTGACACCTCTGGCATCACCTGGAGTCTAGATTGTGAGATCAACATATTGCAAATCCTGGTGCAGTTTCAGAGAATGTCAAGAGTGATTTGGTGGTTGTTGCACAGCCTGAGAAAAACACATCATCCTCCTGTGGGCCTCGATTTTCCCAACTCTAAACTGAAGCTAACCATTGCCCTCCTTGCCTCTCTCCCTGGGGATTTGTGAGGTACTGCTTGCTTACTCTCCCTGAAAGGGGGAGAAACACTAAAAAAAATACTAAATTTCAGCCTTTTTTTTCTTATGTGTTTTGGAAACTAAGAAAGCAAGTGAACCTCTTCAGAAGAACCAAAGTACACAGACTCCCAGAGGATGGCCTGGCTTTGGCACTCAGCAGCTTAGACAAAGATAAAGTCGCTTCAAGAATGTGCCTTATTTGGCCGGGCACAGTGGCTCACGCCTGTAATCCTAGCACTTTGGGAGGCCGAGGCGGGTGCATCACGAGGTCAGGAGATCGAGACCATCCTGGCTAACATGCTGAAACCCCATCTCTACTAAAAACAAAAACAAAAAAACAAAAACAAACAAACAAAAAAAAATTATTCAGGCGTGGTGGTAGGCACCTGCAGGCCCAGCCACTCAGGAAGCTGAGGCAGGAGAATGGCGTGAACCTGGGAGGCAGAGCTTGCAGTGAGCCCAGACGGCGCCACTGCAATCCAGCCTGGGCGACAGAATGAGACTCCGTCTCAAAAAACAAACAAACAAACAAAACCAGTGTGCCTTATTTGATTTCATTGTTATTCCACTGTTTAAGAAAATGCTAAAAGCTAGAATATGAACCTGCAATGGTTTGATAAGGCCTAGACTGTTGTCTTTCCTAGACAAAACTCCATTTTAAATTCAGTTTTGATTCACAGAGATTGACCACTGAAAATCTTTTGCAATTTGGACAAGAAAATTGTTGATATTTAACAACCAGGAGAATCTTCTCTAATATACAGGAAACAAAGGTCAATCATGCGATTTGAAATTTCTATTTGTTAGCAGATAGCTCTAAAATGGCTCTCAAATTTTAGAAGATTGATTTCTAATCCTATGTTTGGTTTTATATAACTTTTTCATTTCATGCAAACTAGTCCCTGACCCCTTTTCTCTCTGCTATAATTCCCTGTCTGATTTGTATCTTTTTAATTCAGCCAAACATTTTTAAAGTACAGACAATGATTACATCAAAGAGCCTGTAGCGAAGTGAACTGTTTTACTTTTACAGTCCTGAGATCCAGAGCGGAACACATCCACTTATTGTCTTACATGCATGCCTTCAGAAACTGCTTAGGAAAAGCAAATATTCCTTAGCCTCAGAGTAAATTGTTTCTCTTGAGAATAAAACATAAGAATTCACTAATCTCACACAAATATTGCAACACTGACCACAACCTCCTTAAAGAGTATAACCAAACAACTGTGGTTTCTACATTAAAGATGGGATCTAACATATTTCATGTATGACATGAAAGCTAGACTACCTTCACCACAAAGCCACGGAAAACGCTGACAACCAGAATTTATGACTCCCCTCCACAGAGCTAATGCACGGCAGCAGTTTCGGCCCCTCCACGCTGGGCCCCCTTTTCCTTCAGCAAGAATCCTGAAAAAGTATTAGAAATTTGACATCCGCCCCAGAAGCTGAATTTCTGTTTGGCCTGACACCAACGTGCCCTTGTTGATAATCTCTTATGTGCTGGATGTTTCTATAACACAGACGTGCTAGTTTTATGCATTGTGAAGGGAAGCTTAACATAGGAATAAGGTCAATAGAGAGACACAAACTCCTAAAAACATAGCCATGGAATTATCTCAGTTTTGAATGATTATTATGATAGGATGATAAGCACGATTTGAGAATATGTCTGTACTTAGCAAAGTGCAAGACTTGCCTTCACCTTGCTTTCACCAGCATTTTAATCTTATTGGTAATTACAGTGGGAAGCAGGGCAAGATGTTGGCACCTGTGAAAGCAGGGCAGATGGCACCGTCTATGGGATTTCAGAAGTCTCGGAAATTGTGGCTAGACAGGAGGAAAATGGTTAATTTCTACAATCTGTTTATTTGCATTTAAATTCCTAACTGGGTAACTGTTCCTCTCACACATTTGTAAAGCTCATTTGTCCTTAGATGCTGTCTCCTACCTCTACCTGTCATCTAATTTACCAGTACTTTTAGAATTCGTACCAGCAAAATGTATCTCAAATTTCAGCCCTAAATATGAGAATACCGCTGTCTATTGCCACTCACTCTTCTATGAGGGAGGGAGAGCCACACTGACTAACCTGGTCAACTAACAAAAAGGAAAAAGCCCTAAGGGATGAGAACTGCTGATGATTAGGTTCCACTGGGTGGAGTGAATGGTTCCCATGTGATATCTATTGAGAGAGTGAGCGAGCAAGAAGATGCCTGAAGTGGGTGACATGAATCTGAACAGAAGATCTCTGAGGTGTTCCCCAACTTCTGGGGGAAATTGTCCATACGCTGTATGGGCATATGGACAGCCCCTTCTCCCCACCTGAACATATGGACAGCCCCTTCTCCCTACCTGCCCCTTGTTTATAATATCCTCCTCTAGAAGCTGAGGAAAGACATAATAAGTCTCTTGGGTGTCTGCAATAATTAGTTTGATCTAGTTGTAATGCCAGGAAGGATCAAACTGTCCCTGACTTCCATCAAGCGGTTCAGGAGCAGAGCAATGCAGGACAGGCAAACAGGCAGAATAGTGTCATGACACGCATGTGAGGCAGGTGAGTCACTTCTGGATGATTCCTCACTTCCTGAGGAAAAATATTCCTAAGTCCTGCTACAGTGCTTTCACTCCAGCTTCCAAGTGAAGCTTATTGCTTATGGATGCATAGTCTTAACACATGGGGCCGAAAGTAGGGCTAGTCAAACCTTATGCTACAGGAAAGAAGTCAGTCACACAAGGACAAATACTGGATGACCCCAATTGCATGAGGTAGCTAAAGTAGTCGAAGTCACAGAGACAGAAAGTAGAACGGTGGTTGCCTAGGGACAGGGGAGTGGGGAATGGGGAATTTGTGTTTAAAGGGTATAAAGTTTCAGTTGGGGAAGTAAAAATGTTTTGGAGATAGAACTGCATAGCAAAATGAATGCACTTCATAATAATAATACAAAAGAATGGCTAGTCAAAGAAAGAACTGGGGCCAAATCAGAGCTGCTTACCTTTTCTGTGCATTCTCCAAGTGACTTTCTTCCATCTTATGCTCTTTTTTGGCTGTAAAAGATAAATCATGATTAAAAATTTTTTCTTCTGTTGTCTCCTTTGCGTAATCTTACAGCTTCAATTACACCCATTCATTACCACAGGAGGTCTGAATTCGGGGGGGGGGGGGGGGGTAGCCTCTAGCACATGTCCTGGCAATAACACTCAATTTGCTTTATTTGCTACCACTGCTTTTTTTTTTTTTAAATTATACTAAGTTCTAGGGTACATGTGCACTACGTGCAGGTTTGTTACATATGTATACATGTGCCATGTTGGTTTGCTGCACCCATCGACTCGTCATTTACATTAGGTATTTCTAATACTATCCCTCCCCCAGCCCCCCACCCCCCAACAGGCCCCAGTGTGTGATGTTCCCCACCCTGTGTCCATCTGTTCTCACTGTTCAACTCCCACCTATGAGTGAGAACATGCAGTGTTTGGTTTTCTGTCCTTGTGATAGTTTGCTGAGAATGATAGTTTCTGGCTTCATCCGTGTCCCTGCAAAGGGCATGAACTTACCCTTTTTTATGACTGCATAGTATTCCATGGTGTATATGTGCCACATTTTCTTAATCCAGTCTCTCATTGATGGACATTTGGCTTGGTTCCAAGTCTTTGCTATTGTGAATAGTGCCACAATAAATATACATGTGCATATATCTTTATAGTAGCATGATTTATAATCCTTTGGGTATATATCCAGTAATGGGATCACTGGGTCAAATGGTATTTCTAGTTCTAGATCCTTGAGGAATCACCACACTGTCTTCCACAATGGTTGAACTAATTTACACTCCCAACAGTGTAAAAGCGTTCCTATTTCTCCACACCTTCTCCAGCATCTGTTGTTTCCTGACTTTTTAGTGATCGCCATTCTAACTGGAGTGAGATGGTGTGTCATTGTGGTTTTGATTTGCATTTCTCTGATGACCAGTGATGATGAGCATTTTTTCATGTGTCTATTGGCTGCATAAATGTCTTCTTTTGAGAAGTGTCTGTTCATATCCTTTGCCCACTTTTCGATGGGGTTGTTTTTTTCTTGTAAATTTGTTTTTCTTTGTGGATTCTGGATATTAGCCCTTTGTCAGATGGGTAGATTGCAAAAATTTTCTCCCATTCTGTAGGTTGCCTGTTCACTCTGATGACAGTTTCTTCTGCTGTGCAGAAGCTCTTTAGTTTAATTAGATCCCATTTATCTATTTTGGCTTTTGTTGCCATTGCTTTTGGTGTTTTAGTCATGAAGTCTTGATAACAGACATAGCTAATAGTGGCCAAATAATTTATTGTTTCCTCTGGGATACTTTTGAGAGTAATGTTAATAATTACACCTAGGCAAAGACATAAATTAGGGAAATCTTGGGTAGATCACGACATGTGGTCCCTCTTGCACGTCTCATCATGTTCCCCCTTACTCTAAACATTATAAATCCAGTAGCATTTGCAGCAGTGCTGCTCAGAGTCATGGGAATCTTGCCGCATACTGCCTCCACACCCACAGGCCCTTTTGGCAGTCTAGGGAAGCCCATGGACTCTTGTCAGAATAATGTTTTCATAAGGTTACTAAGAAAATCAGTGATACTAAGATACAATTCTGAATCCACAGGTTAAGAACCTATGTTCTTTCTATAGGATTATCAAGAGGTTTCATTTTGGGGTGGTTCTTTTATATATCCTTCTCTACAATCAGAAGATATATTATTATATATGAAAATACCACTCTCACACTTTAAAATATCCAGAAAAATAGGAAAGTTGTTAACATAAGCTACAACATAAGTTGTTATGTTATTATGTAACATGTTATTATGTAACATAAGCCTTCAGATTCCTTTAATTTAGGGCTACAATGATGTAAAATGAACGAAAATAAGTAAGTCTCGTATCTAGGATCTATGCTGTGATACTTCATGAAAGATAAGGGATTTTGAAACATCACCCTTTTATTAAACCTGGCCCTACCACTTACTATCTGTATGACTTTGGCAAGTTAGTTAAGACCAAATGCTTAGTTATTGCCTCATCTGTCCCATGAGAACAGCCATAGTGACCATTATCATACAGCTGCTGTAAAGATTTAATGAGATAATACATGCAGAGTGCTTAGCACATAATGTGTGCTCAATATAGGCCATGGCAGGTATTAATACTACATTACCATAATCTTCCTCATTGATTTTAAAATGTAAAGGCTCCCCTGCTCAAAACCTTCCAATGGCTTGTCTTGCCATCAGCCTTGACATAGTATCTACAGTCTTCAAAATGCTCTAGAAGGCCCTGCACTTAAGTCGGCTCCCTGGCTGTTTGGTGGCATTACCTCCTCTTTCCCACACCCCTTCCTTTCCAGCTTCGCTGGCAGCTGCCTCTGGCTTGAGCGCACTGAGCGTGCACATTGGAGGATCTTTGCACTTGCTGTTCCTCCTCTCTGGAACACCCTGACCACAGTCTGCACGATGGGCTCCCTCACTGCATTGAGGTCTCAGCAGAAGTATCTCCTTCTCCAGCTTCCGTAAATAAAAGACCATCCCTTGCCACTCATCATCTTCCTACTACCCCTCCACACACACCCTCTACCCCTACCTTCCTTCCATAGCCTTCCCACAGCCTCTATCTACCTAACAGACTATTCCTTTCCTCATGTGTTTATCATGCAACAACTGAATGTAAGCTCTAGGAGGGCAGCAGCTTCACCTGGCTTGCTTTCTGCTGTAGCCTTAATTGTAGAAAACTGGCTATATGTTAAAGCAATCATTTTAGCTTAAAAATGCATATATTGGATAAAGCTTGCTTAAAAAGAGATATACTGGCTTTCCTGAAAAAACTTTATATTTAGAATATGAACATAAGCTAAAGAAGATTGAGAGGCTAATGTTGTATACCATTATCTCTAAATGTAGTATATTTCAACTAGTAAAACTTATTTTGTTTTATATTAAAATGATTCAGCTTTCATAAGTGCATCATTTTAGGCAGACGGAAGCCATGGCCAGGGCCATCTTTTGCTGTCTGATGTCCCCCCATACTCTTGGCAGGAATTTCTGTGAATTAGTCTGGTACTTAGCCAATCAGATACTGAGAAATGACCTGTGTCTCTCCTAGGTTATCAAGTTCCCCAAAATGTGAAACAAACTAGTGATCTGTTCTTCTCCAGTGATTTTAAGTTATGTGCATAGCCAAACAGGAGGAAAAATTCCTCTGAGGCCCGAGTGATCTTCTTGGACCAGCTCTGCTCTCTCAGCAGATGGTTTCTAACTGGCTACTTCCAAGCTGTGTGTGCTAAGCAGAGTGTGGCCAAGCCATAACTGTATATGAATTTAGTGACAAGAAATACCCTATTCAAACTGAATTGAGCATCAGGTAAGATTTTGCAATACCTCTGTGAATATGGTGATTTGGAGAAACAGAGTCTAAATGTAAAAAGAGGTATTATTAAGAGCCAATGCACACTGCAGAAAACTCTGAGGGTTTAGGGAAAAGGGCCTTCAGGAAAATGAGAAGAAATTAGAGATTTAAATGTTCCCTAATTTTGCCCTTGTACAGATACAAAAGGCATCTACCTTTATGGTGTGACTTGGAAGCTCTAACAGCATGAAATATTTCTCCTACTTGAATGTGTAAAATTTTAAACCAGGCCATTACACATTTTAAGTCTTCAAGATGCTCTAAGCAAAACACAAATACATGACCTGGAAGAACCATGTTTAAAGACTGGAGTCACAAACTCAAATTCTAATACCATCAACAAATAAGGTCACTGTGGGCCAAGTATAAGAATCCCGGTGTTCCAACGTTCTAGTTCTAGCTTTTCAATACGGGAACTATATATCATACAATTGCTCCACAAGAACAATTCTGAAGTTCATAGTTCCACAGCCTACCAAGTGAAGCAGAAATGGCTTTCTATTCCATGGCTATGGGCCCAAGGAATGCAAATCAGAACTCATGATAACTAACTGCCAAGCTTTAACCCTAGCTGTGTCACCTGAGTGTCATGAGCCAATCACAGTGTCCTGTGTTTCAGTCTCCTGCTCTGTCAAATGGAGATGATGATACCTACCCTCCCACATAGTTGCAGCCAGTCTTTGCAGTCAGGTCTTTGACAGTTCAACGTCATGCCATGGCTGCTGGGGGTTCAAGCTTCCAGTGGGTTGGCTGTTTTGCCAGAGTTAAATGAAGTGTAGCATAGAGGAAAGAGCTTGGGTTTTGCACCAGGTGGACCTGGGTTTAATTTCTGCTCTGATACTTATTAACTGGGTGATCGTCAGAAAATCACTTAACTCCACTGAGCCTTATCCGTAAAATGGGAATAATAAGATCTACCTTGCAAAGTGCTTGTGACTATGAGATATACTGAACGTGTGAGATTAATCTAGTGACTGACATATGATGGGCATTCCAGAATGGCAGCCATTTATTGTCTATTGGCTAGAAGCAAATGCTAGTAGTCACTACTCTAGCTTTCTGACTTTTTGGCATGGTTATCACAAAATTGCACACAACATGCTTTCTTTAGAATGTTCATAACTGCTTTCAGTAGACAAGAATTTTGGTTGTTATCATTTATGCTCAAAACTTTAGTGTTTTTTTTTTTTTCATTTCACTCACTGAGCTGATGTCCTTAGCATGGCCTGTAAAAGGCTTTTCTACAAAAGGGTGGTTCCCTATGTCTGACCTAAAGTCATTTTATTTGCTGTTTCAGCTCATTTTGTTTTATTTCATCCTCAGGAGAAAGAGAAAAACTTATTTATAATTTAACAAATAACTGGGAGTCATGGGGGTGGATGTGAGGGGAGAGGTACTTAATGATTACTCTCACCTGTTTTTTCCCCTTAATGACCATGGAGTTCTGTAATCTTTGACCTGATTAACTGGATCACTTCCCCAATACCAAATAAAAGACAATGATACAGGAGTCTTTTTTTGAGAGGTTAAGTTTTCTGAGAGCTAAGATTCCTTCCTTAACCTCTAGGCTCTATATGGTGACCTGTAACAGGTTCCCCTCATTGCACAGTAAATTCAATTCTCTTTGTTGCCACCAAAACTGCCATTTTAGAAGGCAAAGTGAACTATGCCCCTTTTCTGCTTAATGTTCTCACTGGTTCCTCCTCTGAAGACAAAGTGCATTTGCAGTTCACAGTGTGCCCCTCACACCTGCCTCCTGCCATCCCCATACTATCATCCCCAGAGCTCCTGCTGCGTGGGACTCATGGCTGGTCTCTGGACTCAACTTGCTGCATGGTGTCTTTATTTTTGGGCACTTTGCTCCTTCTGTTTCTAATGCCTTCTCTTCCTTGCCCTTCTCCCTTCTCCTACCCTTCTGTTTGAATGTCTTCTCTTTCTTTGAAAACCAAGCTTGAAAATCTCCTCTGAGGGGCCCTCCATGCCTCTCCCCCATAATGTGGTGAGCCGTTCTTTCTGTGGAGATCCAAACACACTATCTCCCCACAATTCCTTATCACAGCACACAGAATGCTATGTCAAGGTCACTGGCTTGCAGCTGGCTTTTCCCACTGGACTCTGTGCTCCTTTCAGAGTTGCAACCAAAATCTGTTTTCAGAGTTTTTCTCTCAACTATTACCTAGCAGGTACTCAAATACTTATTTTTTTTTTTCTTTTGAGACAGGGTCTTGTTCTTTCACCCAGGCTGGAGTGCCGTGATGCAATCTCAGCTCACTGCAACCTCCATCTCCCGGGTTCAAGTGATTCTCCAGCCTCAGCCTCCCAAGTAGCTGGGATTATAGGCACGCACCATGGCTGGCTAATTTTTGTATCTTTAGTAGAGACAGGGTTTCACCATGTTGGCCAGG
This sequence comes from Homo sapiens, assembly GCF_000001405.40. Lineage (NCBI taxonomy): Eukaryota > Metazoa > Chordata > Mammalia > Primates > Hominidae > Homo > Homo sapiens. The sequence continues at coordinate 5,024,641 of NT_187660.1, forward strand.
CTGGTCTCAAACTCCTGACCTCAAGTGATCCATCTGCCTCAGCCTCCCAAAGTGCTGGGATTACAGGCGTGAGCCACCGTGCCCAGCCTTGTGTACTTATTTGACAGATGGAAAAGTACACAACAGAAGAACCCATGTTAGCAGAACACAGTCCCTACTCATTAAGTGCCTGTTTTTTGGCACAGAAATTTCTAATCTTCCATCTTTTGTTTGCAACAAAATAGTGAAGAGTAGAGTAGAACTGAAAAGCAAGAGATTACTATGCCCATCCTATGTCCTGCTTTTAGACTGATACATTAACACAGGCACAAACAGCACTAACACTATAGGGAGGCACAAATAGCATTAACCCTCCAGTTTCGTCTGTATCAGATTGAGTCTTTAAAATATACTATTTTCCACAGTTAACTTTGAAAAAGAGAAAGTTTTTATAAATAAAATGATATTTCCATAAAATATTCAGACTAAGAACATTCACCATTTACATGTACCCAAATAACCGAAGTTTTTATTCTCAAGAGGGTGGCATTCATACAATGAGAGTGGCTGAAGGAGGAGGCCACTCTTTAAAGAAAGTGGGGCTTTTATGCCAAACGCAATTAAGTCCTATTTATGGATGCCCATCTGGGAGGCAGTAAATTGTGAAATAAGGGGAAGGGATAAGGGTTGGAGTATCTTCCTAGTATTCTTTACACAGTCTATTACACTTTAATATACCATGGTTTATGGACCTGACATGGTTGGTATAAACCAACAGGACGCACAGTTAAGAAGTTGTTTTTATTACAGCTCTACAAATATGGGAGCCGGGTGATGCTAACGAGGAAACAAAGGGACTGCGCTCTGCTTCACGTGGGATCCGTCTGATGTGAGTGTGGCAATCGTTTTCCATTTCTTAGAAAATCCCCGTTGTGCACTTTCCAGGAGAAACAAATGCTTTACACCAACAGAGGCACAGCACGCTGACATCGGAAAGGGATGGCCTTTTAACATTTGAGAGAAGAAAACAACAGATATTTGGAACCAGTTTGTGATGCAGAGTTCTTACCCTTACATTTTTCCTTCTGGTATGCTTGCCCATGGAGGACGATATCCTTGCTGGTCTTCCTAAGTTATTAGTTTTCCTGGTTGTGGTGAAATTAGAAGAGTGATCATTTCTGGTCTGTCAGAGCAAGTGTCTAAGCTGGATGGTAAAGTTGAAGAGTAGAGGGCCACCTGTGAGATTTTCTGTGTAAAGTGTTATGAGGTTGTATAAAGACATGCTGTCAAGGTTCCTAGTGTAGGGTGTAGGATTTCCAGGTCACTTGCCTAAGGCTAAAGTGGACTAGGAAACTAGGCTTTTGGTGAAAGTACCAAGTAAAGGACATTGTGTCACTACACTCTGAAGAGGTCTTCAGAGTCATAAAATAAAAAAAAAAAATCCAGTTAAAAGGAGTCTTCAAATGGTCATCTAGTCTACCTCCCAGGCTGATGTGCTATCCTGGATCCTCTTATTTCCAGTCAGACTTTGCAGACCTTGTCTTTTTCATCATTTTATTTGCTTTTTTTTTTTTTGAGACGGAGTCTCGCTCTGTCACTCAGGCTGGAGTGCAGTGGTGCGATCTCGGCTCACTGCAACCTCCGCCTCCTGGGTTCAAGCGATTCTCCTGCCTCAGCCTTCTGAGTAGCTGGGATTACAGGCACATGCCACCATGCCTGGCTAATTTTTGTATTTTCGCCATGTTGGCCAGGCTGGTCTGAAACTCCTGACCTCAAGTGATCCACCCACCTCAGCCTCTCAAAAGTGCTGGGATTACAGGCATGAGCCACCACACCCAGCCTTTTTCACCATTTTAATCTGCCATTTCTAGTTGCCCCTTAAGTGAATTGGAGTATTTTATGGACACTAAACAAACAAACAAACAAACAAACAAACAAAACCACGAAATGGTATCACCTAACTTGGGCACCTGGGGCTGTTCTCAACCAGGGTCCTTCATCTGAACTGCAGAACACAGAAAAGGATTTGAGAAGCTATTTTCTCAGTTTCCCCATATACACATCACCGGGAACATTCTAAATGTCTAGGACAATGCCAACTCATTACACACAATGGCAGAGATAGGGCAGTACGACTTAATTCCCTTACACATAGTTGAAAATGTGAGTCCTGAGGCAATCAAACTTACAAGTGACTTATAATATTAAGTCATTTACACTTTTATACAGGCTGAGTACTCCTTATCTGAAATGCCTGAGGCCAGAATTGTTTCCAATTTCAATTTTTGTCCCCCACATTTTGGGATACTTGCATATACATAATGTAATACATTGGGGATGGGACCCAAGTCTAAAGATGAAATTCATTTATGTTTCATATATACTTTATACATAGAGCTTGAAGGTAATTTTATTCTTCCCTCAAGGACACTGAAAAAACTGTCTATTGTGCTCCTGCATTTTGGCCGAGACCGTCACATAAAGTCAAGTGATGGGTCTTGTCAAAACGCAGGTGCGCAACAGACAGTTTATTCATGTCATGTCAGTGCTCAAAAAGTTTCAGATTTTGGAGCATTTTGCATTTTGGATTTTCAGATTAGAGATTCTCAGCCTGTATCTCTAAATCTAGTACGATGATATTCGTAAAATATCTTATTGGTATAACAACATGAATTACAAAGTGCTGTTTGCATACAATAGAAAGGGTCAGACCTTCTACAATAGAAATATTTCAGGTGTCATGTATTCATTTATATTCTCTGGTGACTGTAATAATAATTTGTATAGGTGACAGGTACAATTTCAGAGATCACAATATACAGTTGGCCCTCTGTATCTGTGGGTTATGGATTCCACCAACTGCAGACTGAAAACATTTGGGGAAAAATGGATGGTTGTGTCTGTGCTGAACATATACACGCTTTTTTTTTCCTTGTCATTCCCTAAACAACACAGTCTAACAACTAGTTATATAGCATTTACATTGTATTAGGTATCATAAGTAATCTAGAGATGATTTAAAGAATGGGTGTAGGTTATAGCAATTACGACACCATTCTATATGAGAGACTTGAGCATCTGTAGAGTTTAATATCCATAAGGGTCCTGGAACCAATCCTCCACGGATACTGAGGGATGACCATAATCTCAAACACTTAACCACATTATACATCTAGTCTGTGATCAATAGTAACTACTGCAAAAGTAAACATTTTATCAAGTCACAGTTCTAGGAGGTAATCGGACACAAGTATAATTGGGATCTAAATGAAGTATATTTACCCACACTTTTTCAGAAGTAAACTCACTTTTTTTTTCCCAATATATTTTCACTAGAGATGAGATGCTTTGCCCCAAGGTAAGTCTTTCAACCATTTACAATACTGACAAAACACTTGGCCTTCAGACTTTATGAAGGATTTTGTTCATTCTTCTTAAAGGCAATCATTTGATTTGTGGCTGATATTCTACTACTTTTGTTCCTCTGCTTCTGTGTAGTCCAGTGAAGTCCCTCAATGCTGCACAACTACCTGTATGCAGAAACATCTTGGCTTCGAGTGATACAGATGCAATTCCTTGATGAAGTTGATAAGACAGTATAACCTTAACCTTGCTATAACTTAGCCCAACTATTTAATCTCAACGTGGAGAAAATGGATACCCAAGTAGATGAAGCGACTATTTGGATTACACTAATAGTCACAGAATCCAGGACTTTTGACTAATAATTTAATAATTTTGGCTAATAATGTGACTAATAATCTACATTTTCCAACGCTCCCTGCTGCTTCCCAAGGGGCAGCATTTTTCTCCAGGATTCCCAAACACCGAGGTGGTATTTCGAAGCTGCACTGTACTACACATCTTCCATAGGAATAGATACATCAGAGAGAAAGTTCCAAGATGGAATTTCAGCTTTCACGCTAAATTTCCTGACTCTTGATGCTTTAAAACAGACCGTGGGGGTACAATTTCAGAATGATCTGGTGAGAGACTCATTAACATTAATGGGAGTCAGGTGGTCACATTCTCAAACAGGGCCTGAAATTCTCCAAGTTATACCATCTTCTAGACCCATATATGTCTTTAACTTATCAGCATTAATAGAAGTGACAGATGTCTTTTGTAAAATGCTTTTCCTTAGTTATTTTTCACAGATATTTCTAAACAAGCATATTTATAAAATATAATTTTCACTTAAGGGATAATTATACATAAATCTATTTCCTTGTAATTAAAAAATAATTATACATAAATCCTGTTTCCTTGTAATGTCTACCTTGTCTCCCAGCCATCTCATTTCCAACGGGAAGGGTCTGACCTTATACAATACTTTAGAAGTATTTCAGGTGTCATGTAGGGAAACTAAACTCTATAGCCTCATCATTCAGACAGCAGACACCATTTAGGAAATATTAGGAATTGCAAAGAAGCTAAATTTTTAAAAGAAGGCTTCTTGCATTTTGTTTCATCAAGAACCTTAGTGAAATTTCAAAAGCAATGGGGTTTACAATCACAAGGCTCTGGATAACCATTTGGTGATAAATTGCAGGTATTCTAATTTGGAGGAAGCTCTTCTTTCCCAGACAACTCTGTCTCATCTTAACATTAGCACTAGTCTGAAGGTGTATAGTTTCTGAAAGGCATGGACTACGGCCTTTTTCTTTCAAACTTTGTATTCAAATGCTTAGCACTTGAGACTATAAACCTAGTATTTATAAATCGGTAACTTGTTGCTTTATTAATTGGTGAGAATGTCCACAAAAGTGTGAATTTGTAGCAGGTTCATGAGCAAAGTGGTAATAGGCTGCATGTTTATTTTATTTTATTATTATTATTATTATTTTTGAGACAGAGTCTCGCTCTGTCGCCCAGACTGGAGTGCAGTGGTGCGATCTCGGCTCACTGCAAGCTCCGCCTCCCGGGTTCATCCCATTCTCCTGCCTCAGCCTCCCGAGTAGCTGGGACTACAGGTGCCCGCCACCACGCCCAGCTAATTTTTTGTATTTTTAGTAGAGATGGGGTTTCCCCGTGTTAGCCAGGATGGTCTCGATCTCCTGACCTCGTGATCTGCCCGCCTCAGCCTCCCAAAGTGCTGGGATTACAGGCGTGAGCCATCGCGCCCGGCCTGCATGTTTATTTTTATTTCTTCTTTAAAGTAGTGTTCTTCAAAAGCAACTCTCATTTTTTTAACCTCATAGCATTTTAGTACTAGATATTCAGCAAATCTAAAGAAAGAAAGCACCTCATGTTAATTTTTTTTAATGGAAGAAAAAGTTCTCCAACTAGCTTCTTTGGGTTTCCCATAACTGCCTCTGATGATTATCTATGATATTTAGGGCCAATACTTCATTCTTCAGACTTTAACTTGTCCATATGTACACTAGATAAAATGAAACCTTACACTTGAAAACTATGGAGCTATACAAAACTTAAGAAATTACCTCATATAAACCCCTCATGCTATAGTTTAAAAACAAGCTAAGTTAAACAATAATAGGAGACTGAATAGATAGTGGATTTTCCAATAACGGAATCACGTACTGGAGTGTGTCCCCTTCCCTTCACCAGCCATAGCTACAACTAAGATCCAAGGACAGTCAACCTAATGCTTATAAAGTAGTCTAATACAATGGCCTAGCACAGTCAGATTGGTGGTGGTGGTGGTAATGATGGCGATGAACATTCACTGAATACTCAGTATGCCAGGTGCTATGATACTAAATTCTTAGGTTCTACACTGTGGATTAACAGTGGAGCCGAAGCTTCCAAGTGCTCCATTACTTTCTAACTATTGACACTGGGTCAGTTGTTTAATGTGGCTAAGACTCAGTTTTCTCATCTATAAATGAAAGTAATGATAGAGCCTACATTCGACAGCTGTAGTAATTAAAAGAGATGTTTGTAAGGTGCTCGGCCATGGCACCTGGCACATTAGTTAAGTAAATACCGATTATGATAATGACTACCATCACTATAATTCTTTGTAATCCAGTGACATTTGCTTGTGCAGCCTTTCTTGGGTTCCTGTGAAACTTCTCTGGGGAATTTCAGCACCCTGTTTCTCCTTAGTAATACGTGTATCCCTACAGTAAGCTCCCAAGGATTAAAGCACACTTCCTAGACCCACATACCACAAAACGTGCTTGCAAAAAATATCACGGGAAAATGCTATGACAAAATTATAAATAAAGAATATAAAGCAGTGGCATGATGTGCCTAAAGTTACGTCAAAAGGTATATCACACACATTATATATATAGTTATCAAAATATTGAATCCATAAAAGAGTCAGAAGGTAACATACCAAAATATTATGGTTGCTATTTCTGCCTCTCTGGTTAAGAGGATTTTTGTTTTTCATTTGTTTTTAGTTGCTTTTTGAAGAAAGGGGCTCATTTAATATAATCAGAAAAAGAAACAACAGATGCTGTTTGGAGGCAGCTGCAGAGCACTTTGAAAGCGAGTGACCTGCCTAAGGTCATACAAATAGTTTTGGGCAAAAAAGAAAGAAGCTGTCCCCTGACTCCCGACTAGTTTTCACTAGGCCACACTGTGATTCTTTATAGGTTCCTGCTGAAAAACTGTAAAACTGTCATATTACTACAGTGGAACAATAGAGAAATAAGTCGTAACAGAAAAACAACCATTGTCACGGATAAGTTAAATTTCATTGGGCAGTCACCCACATTAAAGTCCTTTATTCACACCTTATACTCACAGGCAACATGAAATTCTACAATCTCTATAAAGTAACCATTCTACATATTTTTTACAAATTGTTCAGAAGGACATCCAATATTAAGAATAGTTTCAATCACATTATAAAGAGTAAAATTCAGATAAAAAGCTATTAGGCATGGTCAGAGATTTTAATGGCTTAAGACTGACGTTAACTAAAGAAAAACTAAGAGAAGAAAGAAGCCATACTTATACATGATTTACAATATACAGCATCATACCTTGACAAAGGAAATTTCTTGTTCTAGATCTATTTACACGAAACCTCTGACATCTGTGTAGCTTAACACATTTGTTAAATAGCTGAAGCTCTCCCTCTAGAAAAATAATTGTTCAGATGTTTAGTCATAAAAATGAATAGACTACCAGAACGTCCTGTAAATAATCATGAAATAGCCATTGCTATCCTTAAATCAATCTTCTTTTAAAACCCTGGCAAAGGCTAAATGTACTTAGGAAACTGAATTTACATGGCCACAGAACCCGACAAAAGTCTAATTTCCCTAATATTGGCTATTGCTTACAACATCAAATTACTTTTTAACCCATTTTTATTTCACTTGGTCAAGGGTTTGTCATAGCTGGAGGTTTAAAACGGGTCCACTAGAAATGGTACCCAAGAATTAACACGATGACTTCAAGAGCTCTGATGTTACCAAGTATCTAGGTGTGATGAAGGTCATAATCTGTCTCTTGGGTGATATTTGCAGGAAAAGAAAATGCTGAGAGAACTGGGATTCCCAAAGAAGATGCTGCAGAAGATATTTTCCACATTAAAGAACATTTGATCTGTTCCACCAGTAGATGAACCATTAGCAGAAGCAATCATTATCAGAGCCAGTAAAAGGAAATAAAGAAATGAGGCTTGGTTTTTAAAGTGACCACATTGCTTCTAAGTCGAGGTGAAAGTGCTGACAGTGAATTTATCAGAATTCCAGGTGGAATCCTCCAGAGTCACCTTTCAATCATAACTGTCATCCTCAGAGAAAAAGCTTTTGTTGAAGAAAAATTTGTACAAACATTGAATAATCACATTGATATGGTAACAATTTAACAATACATTCAATAAGAATGAATGTTACAGTGGGTCACTTTTTCCCTGCTTTTTATCAAACCTTTGTATTTTCCCCAGATTTTACAAGTAATAAATCCTCATTGTAGAACATTTGAGAAAGATATAAATAAGAAAATAAAAGCAGTGCATAAGACTTTCTCTGAGCAATGGCCACTATTAATATGCTGATTCATTTCATAAATGTATATATTTATAATCACACACTCATTTGTGCTTTAGTTATATAGTTGAAATTATATTGAATGTAATGTCCTTTCTTGCTTTTTCATTTTTTCCCTTGCATTTTATTTAACATAAAGGTATAGGTATAGGTCAACTTCTAAATGAATACTTTTATAATGAATTTATATTTAAATTTACAATTATTAAAAATAATTGTTGAAAAATTAGCCTTTATTTCAAAGTGAGTATGGAACCTATTCAAACAAAACATTTTCTAGAAACTCATGAAAGCATTTCAGAATAATTTTTTGACAGTTCTTCCTAAACGAGATCTTGTAGGAAAGAAGTGTTTATGAAGGATTATTAAAATATTACCAAATAGAATTAAGGCAGATTTTTATCTTTTGATTTAACTTGGAAATCATCCATTGCTTCACCCTTTAGTCTTCCTATTTTTGCGCCTTAGAGAAATGTTTTACATGGCTACCAGTGCATTTTAAAATAGTGTCTAATACTGCAAAGTAAGTTGAGATTTCTTTATCCTGTGCTTAAACCTAATATATACTACTTATTCTGTATTTGAAAAATATAGTATAAAGAAAATACCCTTAATGCAAAAAATATTGAGGATCAGTATATTCTTGGAAGCAAATGTGAAGCCTCTGTGTATATGACAAGCCACACACACAAGCACGCATTCAGTAGGAAACAGATCTCCCTCGAAATCTGAGAGGGTAAAATGTTCAAATATTATGCAAACTGGAGAAGTGCCACCATCTCCTGTACGCAGGAGCCTGAAGCTAATTGTACAAGTGGCACGAAGCTGATTTCAGAAAGTAAAAAAAAAAAAAAAGGCTCATGAAACCAGAGGCTTGAAATGTTTTACTGGAGAAAAACCATAGCATTACCTCCTCCTGTGGGATGATAACAATGATTTATGAAGCTGAAGTCATTCCTTGTGATTGCACTTCAGGGAGATTGGTTTCACATGATCTGCGAAGGCAGGCAAGGCGAGCTGAAGAAGAACCCCACATGTTCAACTGAGGCTGAGCTCTGCCTCTTCAAGGGGATTCCAGAGCTCCGAGGAGGGGGAGGAAAACCTACTGCTTTCTGATCCATGCAACCCCCTTCCCCCCAACCAACAAGCTTATTAGGTGGACATACGGCTCTCTTATTTTCTCTCTCCTTTTAAAAAGTATTACTACTTCTGCTGTGTGGGAGTAGAAGCTTGTTGTAAATGCCCAGCAGGATAGTAGCAAAGCCAAGATTAATTCCCTATGGATTTATATGGGTCGTTCTCACCCACGATGACTTGTACCGTTTCAAAGGTGCTTATGCTGCTGTTTTTATGGCTGGTCACTAACTTTATTCTGGCATATGGTGGTTGGCGCCATGACATGGAGTGAACATTTTATACCTGAATTAAAGTGGATATTTGACAGTTTCTGTCAGAAAGTTCAGAGCAAAGAATTTGTGGGACAAGATTTATTGCATATTTTATATGGGACACATCTGTTTCTTTGCTAGCTTTGTTCCTTCCCACAAAAAAATTTAAAGACGTTTCCTAAAGAAATATAATGACTGATAGGAAAAAAATTCCAAAGCAGAAGAAAAATATGGTCAAAAGTTGGGCATTTAGGATCTAACTTTATAAAAAAGAAAGAAAAAAAACCACTTCTCATTTTGACGAGGAAAAATGACTCACAGTCATGTATAGAAGCTCAGTGAAACAATGCTGTTATTATTGGCAATTATTTTATGGTTAGTTTAATGTCATTTATATAATGAAATTAAAAATGTAAATGTATTACCTACCATTTTTCGCATACTTGAAACAGGACTGGCAAGAATAATCTGCCTTTGATGTATTTTTAAGATTTTGCCATCTCAAATGGTGGACTGAATAATAAGTCCAGCTACATCAGTGTTAAACAAAATAATTACAGATATTTAAACATTTAAAACTGATATGCCTAAAGATAAACGCAGACGACTTCCAACCAAAATCCATCAATACAACCTGAAGGGTGTATATAAACTTCTCATCTAAAAACTCCCTGTATTGTAAAAAGTCAACTGAGTAACAAAGATTCATGATTACAACGTGAAGGGTGTATATAAACTTCTCATCTAAAAACTCCCTCTACTATAAAAAGTGAACTGAGTAACAGAGATTCATGATTACATAAAAAGCGGGCTCAACCTGAAACTTTGCGTTAACAGACAGGCCACTTTTTCTTTTAACTGCAAAGAGAGAGGCTTTAATTCTATTATGAAACTGAAAATAAAACTTCCACTCTTAAATATTTTGCAAAATTAATCCTTAACTAATTTAGGTTATATGCATTCTCCTTATAAAAATATAAAACATTACAGATAAAGTCCCCCTGATAGCCCTCTGCATCACACCCTCTGTCTCCCCCAACACATATATATATATAGTTATCTTCTACAACTCAAGTACTGTTATCATTTTGGGAGTATCCTTCCAGAACTTCTGAGTGTCCCTGTGCAAACATGCAAGGTTTCTCTAAGACAGACATAGAGAAGTAGATTTGTTAGTGTTATCAGGTAGACATAGTTTTAATTTATTTGAGACTGTCAGTCCTCCACAATGATAGTATAATTTAATACTACGAAGGGCTGATAATTGTTTTGTCAAACTTTTAAAATTCTGCAAATTACATAGATTTTGGTACCAACCCTTGGTTAAATATTTTGCAAATATATTTTCCCATGCTTTTGCTTGTCTATTAACTTTGTTTACAACGTTTATCATTTTTAAATTTAAATCTGAAACAGTCAAATTCATAAATACTCTTCATGTCTTTTGCTGATTAAATCATTTGCAAGAAGGTCTCGTCTACTCCCAAGGTAATAAAGAGGTCTCGTATTTTAATACTGTCTATATTTTTGGTTTTGCTTTTGTCCTTTAGATTATTATTTGAAATTGTGTGAGGCAGTTTTGTTGTTGTTGTTGGAGATGGATAAACACTGTTCAAATGTCACAGATTTTCTAAGATACAATTTTCTAAGAGATAATCAGATTTTCTAAGAGATAATCAGTATCCAAATAATGGCAGATTGTCTTGTCCTCTCTCAGGTTTAAATGAGTCATTTCTTTTTCCTTTCAGCTGCCTGGGTAAAGTTGGTCCATTCGTGTTTATTTTGATTATGAATATATTTAGATTAATCCTCATATTTATTTTGTACTTTTCTTCACCAAGCTTGCTGGCTATTTACTTTTTCACCTTTTCCTAACTTTTGTTGGATTCACCAAACTGTCTTTGCTTCATTTTTCCTTTACTGGTTTGAACATGATAAATTCTAACTTTTTGACTAATAAATATTTAAATCTTTTTTTTTTTTTTTGAGATGGAGTCTTGCTCTGTCACCCCAGGCTGGAGGGCAGTGGCACAATCTCGGCTCACTGCAACCTCTACCTCCCGGGTTCAAGCAATTCTCTGCCCCAGCCTCCCAAGTAGCTGGGACTACAGGCGCCCGCCACCATGCCCAGCTAATTTTTGTATTTTTAGTAGAGATGGGGTTTCACCATCTTGGCCAGGCTGTTCTTGAACTCCTGACCTCATGATCCACCTGCCTCAGCCTCCCAAAGTGCTGGGATTACAGGCATGAGCCACCACATCCGGCTAATACTTAAATCTTAACACCCATTATACCTGTGATTTTAAGGTTATCTACAGCTAATTATATCTCAATACCCTAACCTGGAACAATATAAGGGAGGCTTGCTTTTCCTTTCATTCTCCTCCTAAATTCTACGGTCACATCCAATGCCTCATCCCATTTTGATATCACCTGCAATTTTATTTCCACATTATCAAACACAAATGCTTTACATTTTATTAGTAATGCTTTAACCATTATTTTATAAATGTCTTTGCTCATTATACCTTTTGCTACTCCACTTCTTCCTAGATTCATTTTCAACTTGAAGAAGTACAACTTCAAGAGAAGATCTGTGAGATACCTGTAATCCCAGCACTTTGGGAGGCCAAGGCAGGTGAATCACCTGAGATCAGGAGTTCGAGACCAGCCTGGCCAACATGGTGAAACCCCGCCTCTACTAAAAATACAAAAATTAGCCAGGTGTGGTGGCATGCACCTGTAATTGCAGCTACTCAGGAAGCTGAGGCAGGAGAATCACGTGAACCCAGGAGGTGGAGGTTGCAGTGAGCCGAGATTGCAGCACTGCACTCCAGGCCTGGGTGACAGAGTGAGAGTCTGTCACAAACAAACAAACAAACAAAAAAGATGATCTACGATTAGTAATCTTTCTAGGCTCTGCGTTTCTCAAAAGAATTTACTTTTCTCATTTACTTTAATGACAGTTTGGTTAAATTTAGAATTCTAGGTTCTGATATTTTTCCCCTCAGAACTTTACACTTATTACTCCATTTTTTTTTCCTGCATCCAGTGTTGCTGCTCAGAAGCTTCTTGTCTCTCAGCATTTTTCTAAAGCCTTGATTTCTCAAGGTTCATTATAAAGAATTAAGGGTGCACATATGTGTACATTTATTTTTCATTGCCTCTGTTGGCTCTTTCAATAAGAGATGCAATGTCTTTTCATTTCTGGGAAGTAATGTTGCATTATTTGAGTATTTCTTACTCTCTTTTAAAAATATTTCATCAACTCAAATTTTAATTTCTATATTCTCTACTGGATTCTTTTTTATGAAGGTGTCTGTATCTTATAGTTCTCTGAGATTATAAAACACACATGTTCTGAATATCTGTTCTGCCTACAAGCATGTTTTTTCAGGTGTAAATTCTCCTGTTTGTTGAGTTTCTTGGCTTTCCTCTGTTGTTGATTCTGGACACGGAACCAATCTTGCTAGTTGAGTCTCACCATTGGGTACAAGAGTAGGACAATATGCTGCAGCTACTCTATCTTGGGGAGAACAGAGGAGGGCAGAATGTTCCATGGGGCAGGGTACTCACTCATATCCTGAGCTACCCAAGGCACTGCGCCCTTTCTCTCCTACCCACGAGCCCCCATTCATGGTCTGTCTCAAAGACAGAGAGTTTCTACTGTTTTTTTTTTTTGAGACAGAGTCTTGCTCTATCACCCAGGCTGGAGTGCAGTGGCTCAATCTCGGCTCACTGCAAGCTCTGCCTCCTGGGTTCACACCATTCTCCTGCTTCAGCCTCCCGAGTAGCTGGGACTACAGGCACCCACCACCATGCCCAGTTAATTTCTTTTTGTATTTTTAGTAGAGACAGGGTTTCACGGTGTTAGCCAGGAAGGTCTCAATCTCCTGACCTCGTGATCCGCCCACCTTGGCCTCCCAAAGTGCTGGGATTACAGGTGTGAGCCACTGCGCCCGGCCGAGAGTTTCTATCGTTATTGCCTACACCAAGGTGGGCCCAAAGAGGTCATCTCTGCAGAATGAGAAAATTCTCACAAATGCCGTTATTCCAAGAAAACTGCTTAAATTTCAAAACTCAAAGTTTTAAGTTTCCTCTCACATACATTCTATGACAGTTCTTACATGTTTTGAGCATTTTTAAAGATTTGTAAACCAACAAAATGCTAAAGTAGCAATTTTACTATTATCATAAATAAGGACATGGTGGTACAATCATAACCATTTTTAAAATACCAATTTTAAAGGCACTATGTGGAAACAAAGCCCCTGAAAGCTACTATTCCAACTCATGCTGGAGGTTTAGTCACACCCCTGGTCCAGAATGCTTCGTGGGTAACTTTCATATTCGAAAAGTATTCTTCACAGAACAGGCTTCTGCGAACTCACAAGGTGGAAGGCATGGAGCCTGGAGCTGTAACATCCTACTGCAAACATAGGGAAGACCACATTGGAACAGTGTGCCCCTGCCAAAAGCCATGTGCTCCCTTCTTTACAGGTCTATAAAATGGCATGTGTGATTAAATAAGATTTCACTGAAGTGCTGGAAGCCACACACAGTTGAAACATGGACTTGGGGATGGCAGCAATGCCACCAGCAACAGATAGTGTAATGTACCCCCCGTGAGAGGGGAAAGGTGGGAAAGGAATTTTTAAAAATCTTTGGTCACGTTATTATTAATCATGTTATTTAATAACTGTGAGTACTATTTAAAAAGCAACACGTCCCATTTCCTTCATACCATGAAAGCCAAGTCTGCCTGGGCTGGAGCGTGGAGCCCAACACTGGTTTTCAGAGGCTCAGATTCTTACATGGTCCTCTTAGTGCGTGCTTACCTCACAGAGTGGATAGATATCCACATGAATTTGACAGATTACACATAGGTAATGCTTTAGAGTTTTTTGAACATTTTCAGAAACAGTATTTTTAAATTTTATTTGCAAGGAAAAAATGCTTATCAGTGGCAAGTCAGGTAGGGTCATGTTCAACATTGGTCAATTATCTCACCCATTCTGATCACTTGCTCTGTTCCCGCCACTGGCTCTTCTTCTCCCTCTTAAATATATTCAGGCTCCAAGGCCCGCTCTCTAGACTCTTTTCTATCTTTTAAGAGACAAGGTCTCACTCTGTCACCTAGGCTGGAGCACAGTGGTGCAATCAAGGCTCACTGGAGCCTCCAATTCCTAGGCTCAAGTGATCCTCCCACCTCAGCCTCCTGAGTAGCTGGGACTACAGGTGTGAGCCACCGTGCCCCAGCCCTCTGTTTTATAATTAGCTATAAATTCAGCTACTCTCGTTCTGCCGATGAATCTCAAATCTCTATCATCAACTCCAAACTACATTCTCAACATCAGATTTGCATTTCCCCTGCTCTGCTGAACATCCTGACATGAATAGCTGTCCAGGAATTCCAATTATTCCCTGAGTTGTCTACCATAACACAAATTTGTTCCTTTCCTTGTCTGAGTCACCTCAGTAAATAGCATCGACATTCACTAAGATGATCAAAACCTGGGATTTGGCTCCTCCTTTTGTACAACTCCTACGTTTAAATCCAATTCCTGTCTTTTCTACTTCAAAAACATAGTCTTGAATTCATCCATACTTTTCCATCTCAATTTCCACCAGCCTGGTCCAAGATGCTCATTTTTCACCTGAGCTACTTCAGTAACTTCCTTATCTACTTTTGCCTCTGTGCATTTATTTGTCTACACAGCAACCAGAATAATCTTTTAAAACATGAATGTAGTCAGGTTACTTTCATTTTACAAATTCTTTTAAGGCTTCCTGTAGAATAAAATCCAAATTCCGTCTCATGATCTTCAGGGCCCTGCCTAGGTGGTCTGCCCTAGTTCTAGTTGTATTCGCCCATCTTAATCTCTCAGTATGCCAAGCTCTCAGCTGCCTCAGGGCTGCCAATCATGGTGTTCTTTCTGCGTACGATGTGTTTTTCTTCTATGCTTCCTATAACTGGCTCCTTCCCAGACTTAAATGTCATCACTGTTCTACTCTCCCTACTCTTTTAAAGTAGGTTTCTTAATACCAGCCCTCTTCAGCCAAACCTAAACTTTCCACAATTTGTAATTATACAATGGGTTACTTATTTGCTCTTTTGTCTCTTGCGCTTGCTAATTATAAGTTTATCTGTCCTGTTCATGACTATATAAACTATGCCTGGCACAGTACCTGACACACTGCTGACTCTCAAAAATGGGCTGAAGAAATTTTCTCTATTACCCTTTTCATTGCCATTCCCCTATTATACAGTTGTCTGTTTAGGATTGGCTCTCCTGACTACGTTGTGAGATCTTTAAGCCGGGAGACCGTCTCTTATCTTTGCTCGGCACAATATCTGACACACTGTGGGCCTATTCATAAAGAATGAATGGTTAAGATTAGGTACTCAGTAACCTTTTCCCCAAATTGTATTAGACCTGACATATAAAATCAGTGTGCGAGATGTTGTTTAGAATAAGTAGTTTTGAGAGGTCAAACAACAATGACACTGGTAGTAATAACAGCACATTTTGGATAAGGCTGTTTGGATAACAAAACTCGAATGATGGAAATAGTAGTTAGAAATCACTCAAAGTGAGACTCAAGGGAGCTGACCCTCCCTCTGGATGTCAAAATCTATCACTGACTTAGCAGTGGGGTCCCTAGAGTGTTTCTCAGAATAGTGCTTCCCACACATGTCAAGAGGGCCTAATGGCTGCTTCTTTCACAAGGGTGGTGGGGAGACACGTGAGGTCAAGTGTCCCACAGCCCATAGAGAAGCAGCTCTCCAGGGAGAGTGGAAGACTCTCCAGGGCCCTGCTTAGCGCAGCCTGAGAGGCTACAGGCCAACAGTGAAGGTGTTGAAAGACACTGAGATCGAATTCCCTGGGGGAAAAACGCTGCCCTGAGATTTAAGGAGAAAGAGGAAACAAGCCAAAAGGGTATGCTCAGAAACTGATGGAAAGGGCTAATGTCATCAGATCAAACCAAAGGAAATTAAAGGAAGATTTAGTGAAAAGAGGGCAAAAACAGAATCAAAGGACCCCAGGGAAGCGCAGACCAATTTAATGAGAAACCAGGAAAGTAGTGAGAACAACAAGGGAGTCTCTCTTCATCTATGTTTAATCCAGACTTCTTGCCATTTAATGCTAATGCTTTGCTCCATTCTTAAGTCATACCCACCTAGGAGTTTGCTTTGGAGTTTGTATGTAGGAACGAAGAGAGACCCACCTTCTATTAGAACACTACATGATCTCACACTATCATTACAATATTCCAGGCGGCTTCCAGATAGCATCTTAGCTGTGGAAATGCTATTCTCTTATGTCCTTCCCAGTTTTCCTAGCGCTGGCTCTTTCCAAAGCTACTCATTCTTATCTCCTTCAACTACTTTCTAAATAAACAAGCTGAGAAAACACACACAACTGATGTTTGCCTACAACTGATGCATTCATCTTGTTCTGAAACTAAGTAGAACTACAGGAGAATCAGAGGAGGGGATTCAGGGATGGCATGTCCTCAGGCCTGTTGCCACGTCTCCATTAGGCTCTGAATATGCGTTTATTTTTATAGCTCCCTTTCATGAACAGGTTGTGTGAGACAGAAGTCTTATTTCCAAGGTTCACTTTACTGAGTGGCCTCCAGTCACTCTTTCCAAGAAGAAAGATGGAAAATTATGGTCCAAGCAGCTTTACCGTCCATCTAGGAACCAAGGAGAATGCTGGACCTCAGCCACTCACCAGCTTAAACTGTCATTTATGAGCAACAAAATGATTGTCTTTGGGTCTCGGCAGCATTATCTTGAGCAGAGTTTGTGGCGGTAAGGCCCAGCTAATCACATTTGTCTAATTTTACATTCCCATCACTTTCACAAATGGATTATTACCTACTATTCACTTAAATAAAACAAAGAATGATCAAGGAATCTTGTCGTTCTAGATGAAAATCATAACATATAAGAAAATAGCATTAGTTTTCATGTTTGTACCACTTTCTAACAAAAGAGTTATAATCATTTCACATTATTGTCTTGTTCATCTTTTTAACGACCCAATGAAGAAAGGACATACAGGCCGGACGCGGTGGCTCATGCCTGTAATCCCAGCACTCTGGGAGGCCGAGACAGGTGGATCATCAGGTCAGGAGATCGAGACCATCCTGGCTAACATCCGTCGCTACTAAAAATACAAAAAGAAATTAGCCTGGCGTGGTGGCGGGCACCTGTAGTCCCAGCTACTCGGGAGGCTGAGGCAGGAGAATGGCGTGAGTCCAGGAGGTGGAGCTTGCAGTGAGCGGAGATTGCGCCACTGCACTCCAGCCTGGGTGACAGAGCAAGACTCCGTCTCAAGAAAAAAAAAAAAAGGACATACAGATTGCTGGCTCTCCTTTATAGCAGAGGTCCAGAATGATGTGACTAACTTAAGAACATGAAGTGAAAGAGGTATGGATAAAGAAAAACATGGTTTATTCACACAACTGAATAATGTATAGTGGTTAAAAGGAATCGGACCCAGGCTGGGTGTGGTGGCTCATGCCTGTAATCCCAGCACTTTGGAAGGCCAAGGCAGGTGGATCACTTGAGGTTGGGAGTTTGAAACCAGCCTGACCAACATGGTGAAATACAAAAATTAGCCGGCATGGTAGCAGGTACCTGTAATCCCAGCTACGTGGGAGGCTGAAGCAGGAGAATCGTTTGAACTCAGGAGGCGGAGGTTGCAGTGAGCCCAGATTGCACCACTGCACTCCAGCCTGGGCAACAGAGCAAGACTCTGTTTCAAAAAGAGACAAAGTAATTAGATCCATATGTATCAACATCAATAGATATTAAAAATTAGGATGCAGAATGGTAAGCCCAATATGGTTCATCCTTTCTGTAGTGCAGAATGTCAGAATTTCTTCTTAATTTGGTAAATTTTGATTACTCCAAGTCGTACAAAGGGAAATTCCATTTTCCAAATTAATGGAGCTAATTGAAATGTGATTTTGTAATTCTTTATCATTCAGCATGTTTTTTTTTTTTCTCACTGGGTTTTTGTAACAGTGAATAGACTCTAGCTTGGCTGTAAGAGCTAACAATTTGGATAATAGTACTGCTTTGCATCTACTGCACTCTGCAGAGGATGATTCAAAAAAGAGGCTACTCATCTCCCCTGAGGATGAAAGATAAACATTTGCGGTTAAAATATTGTCACGACTCAGACAGAAGAAGGGATTTAGCCCTACCACTTGGCTCATGTTCCCTCTTAACCAAATCATATTTTTTTAGTAACCTAATAAAATTACTGGGAATAGAAAGCATACATTCCGACTACTAGAAATATTGATACAACAAAGGAACACGTTAGTAGTTTCAACGTCTTTTACTTAAGGATTTCAGAATTCCTCCCAGTGAACAGGGAGATAGGTAGGTAAAATATAATATTTCCTGGTAGATGACCTAAGGCAAAACTCTTTATCTGCTGGCACCTATGTATATTTGCTACACATCGAATGTTTTGTCATCCCCTAGAGGAAAGACACTGGTGGATGGCAAGAATGTCAGTATTTGTTTACTTGGAGCAAGAGGCAGGTCATTTGGTGACAGACTCAAAATGCAATGTGCAAGAACTCAGAAACTGGATAGCAAAACTCCAGCCCAAATGAAGCAAAATTTCCTTCTCTGCTTTCTCAAGGTCTACTCTAGTTAATATTGATGTAACTAGACAAATACCCAATAACAAAAATTTGCCATGCAATATATAATCTAAGATGGCACAACAGTTTATGAGACCAAGCTATTATTCCTACTAAGTTAAAAACATGCGCTCCGGCGAAAGTTCTGTCAACCTTACAGCTCTTTAAATGCATGCATCCAGGAGGACTAGACAAGCCATCTTCTGCTTCCAGCTGCTAGTGTTTCTAGCTGGTGAATAACACAGGCCCCCAGGAGAGGGGGGTGAAAGATAGTTTTCAAAGATTGGAAAATTTCCTCCAACTTACATTAAAATTAATATTAAGGGCTCTATATGTGGCTGCTGGAGTAGAATGGTGGGAATCTAATCAAGAGCCCGTGCCTTCCTTTGAGGCCAGTTTCCTAAAATTGGTTCTCTGTGCCTATATTGCATGAGCTGAAAGCATATGGATGCAATCACATTCCAAGATACCTTATTTGGTGTTGGTATGGACTGGGCATATTGTCTCAGCTTACAAAAGCAATAAGGATTCTCTGACTCCTGCCAATCCATGTAAATCACTCTTTTACCTGTTTAAAGGGTAAGATTCGTGAGTGAGGAAAATAGTTACAACTATTTTGTTACCAGCATATATAACCATGTTCTATATCTAGATAGAACTCTTCAAGTTGTGAGACCTCAGTAGTGGGAAGGGAGACAAGATTTAGACAAATACCCACACAGAAATGAGGGGGGACACATTTCTCCCACGTGGCAGAGTTAGGAGGTACTGAATCCAAATTTTGTCCTTATGTAGAGACCTTATGCTGGTTGAGAAAGCAAAATAACTAAATAAGGATTACTTATATCTGCAACTCATTTTAATGTCTTCTTTATTTTTAAAAGCAAATGGACTAGTGAAGGGAAATTCACTTCTCTGAATACAGGATCATCCCACATTCAGGCTATCCAAAATTTGGGGGATCTGGAAGGCCAAAGACCAAAAATAAAGTAAAAAAAAAAAAGTAAATGAAGTTATTGGATATGAAATAACAAATGACAGGAGATTAAAATCTTCTAATTCTTGTGTCTGGCCATATAACTGAGTGCCACTGACCATTAGATAAAGACAGATTTTTAAAAATAATCACCCCTATTGTAAGGGATAGTCACTCCTGACTCATTGTCTTCTCTTCTTCATTAGTTTGATTGTTTTTCCCTCCAGATCACATTTTTGGAGTTGTTCTTTTGGTGAGATAGTGGTTGAAATAGTTTAATTTTCCTTTTTGAGTCCTGTTTTCACCTCTAGATGAATTTGCTTTTATGAAGGAATTCCATTCCATTTATGATCTAAATGAGGAGGAACTCCTTTAAATTCTTTCCTTTTTTGGACAGCTTCAACCTGTATTTCACTGAGTACCACTGCATGGTAAGTAAAGAGGATACTATAAATAAAGTGTGAAATAGACATCTTCCCTCTCGTATCAGCTAAGTAATTTCTCAAATATTTAAAAATTGAAAGAAGTGCCACAGAGGTAACAGAAAGAGGGGCAGTTATATTATTGAGTAGAAACCTAATTTTCCCAGGAGTATATGTAAGAAAAGCCCTCCCTGTCCGAGGAGACGTCATCATGTGAACTCACATATGAAGAAAGGTGGAAATCAATTAGGGGTAGGAGCAGCGAGGGCCCTGGGGAGTGTTCAAGTAGTGCAAATGACATCTAAAGACGGGATGAAATGTAACCTTTCAGATCGGGAGGGCAGGATCCAAGCCACCAAAAAGTCTAGTGGTTTGTATCCTCCAAACACCCCCCACCACTATAATCTCCCGCCACTTACTCAACCACTCTAGTCCAAGGCACCAAACCCCCATGCTGGATTCTTAACCTGTCCTGATTGAGGTCCTCCTTTAAGTCACATAGATCCAGCCCATCTGAGTTCAATTTCCTCCTTTGTAAAATGGAGATAATAATAGTGCTTTCCTCAAGGGTTTTTTTATTCAATGAGAAATGAGATATTACTTAGTATCAAACTTGGCTGAGAGTATTAAATAAATGTTAGCTAATATTATTTTTACTTTTTTTTTTTGAGACAGGGTTTCGCTGTGTCAACCAGGCTGGAGTGCAGTGGTATGATCTCGGCTACTGCAACCTCCACCTCCTGGATTCAAGTGATTCTCCTGCTTCAGCCTCCCGAGTAGCTGGGAATACAGGCACCTGGCTAATACCGTTGCTAATAATATAACGCACATATCATGGAAGCTTGGGAAGTTTTTATAAAACAGGTGGGGCTTGATGGCAGTTTTGAAGGGTATTTGCTGCTTGCCTAGAACACGGGAAGTGGAGCTGGCAGTCCAAGCTCAAGGAGCCCCAGGAGCCAGGGCTTTGCAGAGGCTGCAGGGGAGGAAAGTGTGTGTGGGGTGGGGAGGTTGGTATTGCATAGGTCCAGGGAGGCAATCATGAGACTCCCTAGACCACAGGAAAAATCTTTTGTGGGAATAGTAAGCTTGGACAAGTAGACTAGAGACTATGAAGATAATCTCTCAGAGACTGACACAAATAATCCACTCATGCAAATAATCTCAAAGAATGCAGCCTTTTTTTTTTTTTTTCTAACTTCTGATTCTTAAGGATGAAGAATGTGGGTGGGGATGCCTGTTCCCGGTGTCAGTAAGTAAAATCTTCTGGTGGGGAAGTATTTTGAATATTTGCAAAGAAAGTTCAATGCTCTCCAAAGTGGAGGTAGAAACTGGCACCAGGGATTTCTGTGTACCTGCCTAGAAATACAGGGCTTTAATCTACAGCCAATGTGAACTTTTGTAACTCTTTAAAACATCATCATTTCTGAGGGACTTCAGACTCTGTTCTGTAGGTCAGCACCAGACCAACAATATAGAGTTCCTGTGATCACTTATGATTTGAAACACAAACTCAGGCTTTGAATGTTTTAAAAACACCCGTATAACTATGGGTTGTTTAAAAATAGCTATACCCCAAAGAGTTTATTTCCAACATCTGACATGAATGCATTTTGCAGCGATTTGTTATGCA
Organism: Homo sapiens; assembly: GCF_000001405.40. Classification (NCBI taxonomy): domain Eukaryota; kingdom Metazoa; phylum Chordata; class Mammalia; order Primates; family Hominidae; genus Homo; species Homo sapiens. The sequence goes on from NT_187660.1 coordinate 5,046,684, forward strand.
AATAATGGTAGCAGGGAAGACATATGAAAAAACATTGACCCTTCTCAAAGCCCGATGGATTTAATGCTTTTGTTAATTCTGAATTCCAAGTCTAGGGGTTGTCTGTTTGTGGTGTATAAAATAAAATACTATATGCCTGCCTCAACTTTCCTTCTGATGAAGCTGTAATTTGCAAAGGAGCTATTGTTCCTCTATGGCTTCCCTAATTTTTCTTCACAGACAACTGTGCTTCAGTGTGGAGAGGGGTTTCAGTGTATTGGCTGTTGAGATGATGCTGTGAGTATTTTCAAGGCAGAGGGGGCTGGGTGCGGTGGCTCACACCTGTAATCCCAGCACTTTGGGAGGCCGAGGCGGGCAGATCATGAAGTCAGGAGATCAAGATCATCTTGGCCAACATGGTGAAACCCTGTCTCTACTAAAATACAAAAAATTAGCCAGACATGGTGGTGAGTGCCTGTAATCCCAGCTACTTGGGAGACTGAGGCAGGGGAATCGCTTGAACCCGGGAGGTGGAGGTTGCAGTGAGCTGAGATCGCGCCACTGCACTCCAGCCAGCAGAAGGAAGAGCTTTTTGAGATGGAGACTCAGGTAGTGCTTGGAATTGCTGATAATCCAAGGCCTGATGATACGGGGGTTATTTGCTGAAGCTTCTATTTCAACTCTCCTTTATGACCCCGGGTTACCTAAATATGTTGCCTTCTAATGTTGTTTTGTGAGAGGTAGGAAGTAGGGTAGACATCATCAGTCTTAGATTTGTCAATGGGAGAAAACCAAGGGACAGACTTTTTTGCCGCCATTTTGTCCTTCTAAAGTGTTAGCTCCTTTTTCCCACTTTACAACTCCTCCTTTCTCCCCTCCTCCTCTGCTCTGCTCTTCTCCACCGCCACCACTCCCAGCAGCTGTTTATTAAATGCCCACTGCATGCTAGCTTTCTAATTTCTTCTTGTCTCTAATGGTCATATTTTAGGATGTCATTCCTCTACTGACAGCTACCACTTCTAGAGTAATCCTAACCTGTAATTCTTTTCTTAGAGGATAAGTAGAAAATACGTAATGGGAGGTGGGGGGAAATGGTTTTGATCTGCAATTAGTGTAACTGATAGGGAGGAAAGGGCTTGGGTTAAGGGAATGTCTTATGAAGCAGCAGCTGTTTTATAAGGGACTCATCTGGAGAAGTGGGGTGTATCCTCTACTGATAAGGGAGAAGACCCACAGAAAGCCAACTAGCATCAAAACAGCCCCAGCATCCAAGCACAGAGGAAGTGAGCCTTCTGACCCCCATGATCTAATAAGCCCCAATATTAGTCCATACAGGAGATGAGCAACATCCCAGGGTGAGTGAGTCAGTCACTCAAGTCCCCGGCCCAAAAGTGTAATGGACTTTGTTTTATGGTTTAATGGACATTTAGCTGAGTTAAAAGGGTTAACAAGTCTGAACACTTCTCTGAAACCTGATGAGATATCCAAGCATCTTTTTTCTGAAGGTCTCCATTGAAAATACCACTTATGAGTAACTTCTGTAAAGAAAACCCATCTGAAAATACCAGAGATGAACCAGCTGCTTTTTTCCCCCTGAACTCTTAGCAAATGATCTAAGGGCTTAAACACATTAAAGGCCACAATTTCAACTTCTGGAATCAATAGGGCAAAGGAATGTGGGCATATTCATTTAAATATGAATTTGCTGACTCCATTCTTACTCTCTTGGGTTCCTCCATAAGCCCAGACCTTACACTAAAAGGCAGCTACTTCTCACACTGCAGCAGGATTTTGAGAACCATCGCCCTTTGTCATCTTCACCCTGACCCTTCTCATCATTTTTTCTGATTCTCAGAACCTCCTGGCATTTATTTCCAATTCAGTTCTGTTTCCTTTCACCAACTTGGGTTAGTTGAGGCTGGACCCTAGCATGCCTGTTTTGTCATACTCTGATGAAAAGCAAATTAAATTCTTGGATGGTAAACTCTTTTCTTAAACTTCTGTCTGGTTCTTCGGGAAAAAATTAAAAATTATATTTCTGTTAATATCAACCAAAATATTGAATCCATCTCAGGATCCTACATCCCTTGACCAACAAGCTGATAAAACTGCCTAGCTCATCTTAGTCAACCTCTTCCTCTCACATGGTGTGTGGAACAGAACTTGGTCTCCCTTGGGCTTCAGTAGTAGCAAATTGAGGAAGTAAGACCTTAATTACATATAACCATGTTTCCACCCTACGTTAGCTCTGTTCCCTTGCCCTTTCACATTTCAAGCTGCCTCAAGGAGGAAAAAATCAGACAGATAAAACACAAACAAAAGACAGAAAACAGGAGCTCAAGGGCTAAATCAAGACTATTAATAGTTCCTCCAAACAAAGAAACCGACTGCCATCATCCAAGCTCTGTTCATCTAATTCTTCCTTTCTCCAAATGTGGCTGAAACTCATCTCCCTTTTAGCCTTCTCTTACTCCCACCGTTATTATTTTCAGCAATTTTTCCCTAAGACAAGGCAGCAGCAGCAAGAAGTGAGAAAATAAAGGTAATCTAGGTAGTACCTTTCTTTGAACAAATAGTTTTCCATCTTTTTCTTATTTCCACTGATCTTGAAAACAGAATCACTGTTTAAAGGGGAGAAGCCCTAGTTCCCTCTGATCACCTTGGTTAATTTTAGAATGGGTGCTTCATATTCACCACACAGAGAAATCTAAGGCTTTTATTCAGGTGAACCCTTCAAAATGATAACATTATGACACCAAAGCTTTTAAAAGTCTTGCTGTTCTGAAACTGCCATTGCAGTTTGGCTTTGTGGCTTTGGATACTCTCAGAGGGAAGGCATCACCTTTGTTAGAGTTTGTGAATTTAAATTAGTTTGGGTTTGTTTGGAAGCAGAGCAACATCAGAAAATCCAGTCCCTTTCTACCTAAAAGCACAAGGCTGCTAGTGAGCAGGCCCATGAGGAAGAGCTGGAGGAGAGGGCAGGACACAGGGATGTCACCCAGCCTAGCTGGGATACGTGTCAGGCCTGACCACGTAATCACAGATACTCATGAACAAGGGAAAGCAGACTATTCAGATACAATGAAAACTGATTTTAAATACGAGGCATCTCTTATTTTATTATTTTTTCTAAATCGTGGCTCTAAAAAAATAAACTTAGAATTATTTTCCTCTTCCAAAGTGAAATATCTTTTTCTTCCTGGCTTAGACCACCAACCAGGTTTCTGCTGCCGGAAGCCGGGAAAATACTGGATATTCTTTGAGGAAGCCTGATCAGATGCCCTATTATCCCAATTTCCAAACCAAAGATGCTTGGAGATGAAGACACACTTTTTTGGTGTGTGTTCTAAGTTGCAACCTCAAAAACTTGGCAGTTTTCTCACCATGGACTGTGATTTCCATGATGTGATGGTTTGGAAGGGTTTGTTTTCAAATAGATGTTATGGGGTGATTCCAAGGGAATTCTATTTCAATCCTCCTGAGTTGACAACCTTTCCTTCTTAAGTGTAACTTTGGTGTTCAGATAACCTTGGGACACAGACAAGGAAGATTCCCAGTGGTAAATGTCTGTGTGGTACAAAATGGGAAGGCAGAAAGTGAAGCTTGTAAAGTCATGAAAATAAGAAAGAAAGAGCTTTTCATGCATTATCTTTCACACTGTTCTTCTTTTTCTGTTTTTATTTTATTATTATTATTTTTTTGAGACAGGTTCTCACTCTGTTACCCAGGCCGGAGTGCAGTGGCATGATCATGGCTCGCTGCAGCCTCAATCTTCTGGGCTCAAGTGTTCCTCCCACCTCAGCCTCTCTGTACCTGGGACTACAGATGCATGCTATCATGGCCCAGCCAGTTTTTAAAATTTTTTGTAGGATGTGGCCTCCCTATGTTGCCCAGGCTCGTCTTGAACTCCTGGCCTCAGGTGATCCTCCCACTTTAGCCTCCCAAAGTCCTGAGATTACAGGTGTGAGCGACTGCTCACAGCTGGGATTACAAGGCTGCTCACTAGCAGCCTTGTGCTTTTAGGAAGAAAGGGACTAGATTTCTGATGTAGCTCTGCTTCCAAACAAACCCAAACTCATTCAAATTCACAAACTCTAAAAGGTGATGCCTTCCCTCTGAGAATGTCCAAAGTCACAAAGCCAACTGCATGGCGGTTTGGGAATGGCAAAACTTTTAAAAGCTTTTGGTATCATAATTTACTTTTATTTAGGAGGATAGTATAGTTCACATTTTCTCCTTTTTCACAGGTTCTATTTAGTGTCATTTATAGTAGCAATAATTCATATTCTAACTTAGCTTTACCTCAGCAACTCTTTCTCCCCTTACTTTTAGTCTCAGTACTACAAATGCCCGCATGCTTTCTCCCCAGAACCGAGGCCTTCATATTTTTCTCCCTAAGCTGTATATGTCTTACAAACTTGTAAAATGAATGTAAATGAATGTAAAACTTTCCCCTTGTTTGGTGAAGAACAAGAGGATACACCCATTGCTTGAGCATACATCTCCCTCAGTCTCTCTCTTTTTTTTTAGAATGCAAAGTATTTTCTTTTTAAACTTTTAAAATCTGAAAACAAGCTAGCCTATGTTAAATAACATAGTTTCCAAAGCTGAACGTGCTCACTTGGAGCCCAGTTTTCTGCTTCAAATACAAACACAACTTCCTGACACTCCTAGGTGGGAACACTACTGTTTGACGATCTGTGATTAGATGAACTGATCGATCTCAGTGGGTAACATTCCTTTATTTTTTCCTTGGTAAAGGTTTAAAAATTCTAAAATAGATGCATTTTTTTTTTTTCAGTTTTACACTGACAATTTCATTCCAATTGTCTCCTGGGAGACACAGACCATGTACAGGAATCCATCTTCATCCTTCTCACTCTGCTACAATGCTGTGTCTGTTCACCGCCAGGAGGAAGGCTTGATTAGCACTGAGCTGGAAGGACCTTCTAATGATCTTGATGAGCTCACTCAGGTTGATGTGGTCCAGTACAAGGAACATTGCTTTATCCAGGACGGGAAGCTGCTTCTCAGCCTTGTATCGTTCTGTTACTACCAAGATTTTGGGTGGATGCTGCTCTCGGAGAAGTCAAACTTCTACTCTTTGTTCAAAGGTGTGGTGTGGCCTGAAGGTCTTCTCTGATGTCATGGTGCAGGGATCTGGGTGGTGGTGGCGACATAAGGGTTCTGGCGGCTCCTGGGGGTGGCGGTGGCAGTGAATCTAACTCTGGCGACAGTGACTTCTCTTGTCTCCCTCAGTCTCTTTATTATATGCTTGATCCATCAGAAAGTCTCAAGGTTCTATGCACCTCAGCAACCCCAGTGATAAGGCAAGGGGTTCATGGACTGAGTCCTGAAGCCCTCTTGTGTTTAGAGATTGGGAAGATGAAGAACCAGCTTAGGAGATTGAGGAATGCCCATGAAGTAGAGAGAAGACAAAAGAGGGTTAGGACCTAAAGCAAGGAGGAGTTTTCAATCCATCATTTGATCAGCTATATCTAATGCTCCTGAAAGGTGGAGTAAGATTTTGCGTCAGATATATAGGGTCTTTTAGACTGGAATAGTGTCTGATTCTTCTTTTTTTCCTCAGAGTCTCACATATAGTAGATAACTTATAAATGCTGAATGAACAACTGAAAAAGAATAGTAGTGATTGGTCACAGAGAATGGGATGTGCTCTCTGTTAATTCCTTGCCCATCAACAGATGCCCATCCTAGGGCAAAATGGGAGAAAGACTATCATTTCCACAGTCCTCATGCTGAATGGATCCCAAGTGCTATTGCCTCATTTATGTAGCATGATCCAGAGACACTTCCAGTCTGAAGAACTTCAAAGGTTTTAGGAGGCTGAGGTGGAGGGCTCGGGGAGCAATGAAGGCAAGAGGGAAAGGGATGAACAACCACAATAAAAGGCCGGCACGTTCACAACAATGTTGGGCAAAGACAGTGATTCCTGAATATGAAGGAATCTGGAGAGCGAGTCACAAGAAACTGAAAACATAAGGGGGTGGAGGAGATGCTGAGAGAAAACAGAAAGCTATGAAAGAAGGCAGACGCTCAAACCGAGGTAAGAGAGAAAAAATTAAAAGCGGAAGGGGAGAAAGAAAAAAAATCGGAGAGGTGAGGCCAATGTATGGAAAAAGAGCAAAGGAAACACAGGGCCATTGTCTGATGCTGAGAACAGTCTGGAGACTGAGCAACTGGTGCCCGATTTCTGTGCATCTCAAGAGGAGATAAATGGCAGATTGAAGGGACCCTCTTGGCATTCTGGATCCAAGAGGAAAACATAGCAGGCGCAGTGAAATGCTCAAGTAAACACAAACAGCAGCAGCCGTGGGGTTACGAGTGACCTGACTGCAGGCTCTGTCCTCTCCTGGCCTCCAGCCTGTGTGTACAACACACATGCCCGCTTAAAGCCCCGCTTAAAGCGGGAGGGCAAAAATCTCCTGCAACTGGGTGACCTCTGTTGTCAGCATTTGGCTAATTAAGGAAAGATATTACCCTACAGATCTCTATGCCTTGGTCCTACTTCCTGCTCGTTAAAAAATGGTTTAATGAGAAAAAAATCAAGGCAACAGAATCCAAATTATTATTTTTTCTCCCAAATGAGCTGAATGACAGTGGCTGTTGCCAGAACGCTTGAACAATAGGATTGTGACACGAAGACTGAAATCTAAACAACATGAAGAAATCTCGAGAGCCCAGCAGTCCCCATTATCTCATGCTTGCACGACGATAGTCCAAAAGATGAGTGATGAGTCTCCATTTGTGCAAGCACAGCAGCAGTCCAAGGCCCTGACACAGCCACTAATTGCCCATCTGCTTGTTTACACAGCCCAGAGATGGTGACTGGACAAACGGCTCATTTCCCTTGAAACGGGACCAAACTGGGAGGAGCCTGTCACATGGGACAGAGGAGGACTAGGAAGAACTCTCATGAGAAAGTGCCCCCAGATCAAAGCCAAGGACCAGCAAGCCAAGCAAAGATGGGTTCCAGCGGCTGGCTTCTCACAGGCAGCTTCGGGTCTACCGCTTTCTGCACCCTGCCCACCCACTCCCAGCAGAACTGGAACCCCTCTCCCTGAGGACAGGACATTTTGAACCATTCACGTAAAAGTCTCAACCACGGAGCGTCAGCACCAACCCACCCTTCAGGCGTTGGCAGCAAGGACAACTGTGTTCAGGTGAACTTCTAGCCCTTTCAGACTTCACTGGATGCTTGGCATTTGCTACACTAGTTCCCATTTTAGTGTTCTGCTTGTCTCGTAGACTGGACTGTAAACAACTTGAGCACAAGGGACCTGAAGCCCCCGGATTCCACAGCAGGGCACTTTACATGTGAAGAGCCATTAGCCAGGAAATGCTTATGGTTGTTAATGATGATAAGCTACTCCAAACATAGTTTCTTTTATCTGCCTACATCAGAAGCTTGGCTTCTTGAGACAAGAGACTCAGACTTCTCATTTATACTCTTGACAGACTGTGGAAATCAATAATGGCTTGCACCCATCAGTGTCCTGGAAGTAGGATTGAGAGAGAAGATTCTCTTGAGAACCGATTTCTCCTCAAAATAAGATTAGGCTTGAAAAAAAAAAAATCAACCTCCCCACTGCTTAGCTCACAGGTATGGTGCTAATGGCAGCAACTTAGTCATGAAATGGGAAACAACAATGTAAAAAATCCTTGTTAATTTGCTTATAATTATCCAGAACTAACTACAGGTACACTGAAGAACTGTATACTTGATGGGAGGGAGATCTACACCGCTAAGTCAATAAGACCAATTTCCGATTTTTCCCTGTGAGCATTTATTTGCAGAGCCACATATTGGCAACATAAGAAACTAGTGTTGAACAAACCTAAGAAGTGATGAATCCTCCCCGGGAGGAGAGCTGCAGCCCTGAAATCCAAAGCAGAATGGGCTGGGGGCAGCTTGAGGTCTGTGGGCGAAACTCAGCACTCCCAGTCTAGGGTGCTGCTCACCCATTAACTTGGCCTCCTCTTGCCACTGTTGTTTTAGCCCTTAGTGAGCATCTGTGTGGCTCAGATTTAACCAGACCAAAGGGGCTGTGGTGGTGAGAGGGCAGAGAAAGCTGGAGGAAGAAATGGCTTTTTTTCTGGAGAGGAGTGAGGACTAAGTCACTTCAAGGATGATCATATTCCCAGGAGGAGCCATGATATGATATTATTTGAATATCTAGCTCCACGCAGCTCTATTTTTCCCTTCTCACTACTAGAAGATTGTAATCACCCGGTATCAGCACATTCAAGATACTACCGAGGACCTAACAGCATGCCCAAAACCTCTCATCTCTGCACATAACTGCGTACAAATGACTAAAATCACTTTGCTTCAAAAACAGAGTAGCTGTGTGAAAGGCATTTTAGAGCATGTGGGATTCCACACACAGGCAAGTTCCAGGGATCTCAGAAGCTTGGCTATTTCGTTCAGTGCCAAGGAGGCAAAGATGAGGACAGGCAGTCGTGTGGGTGGGAGGCAGTCCTTGGATGATTAGCACAGGTGTCCAGGAGGGAGGGGAGGGTATGGAAATGGTACAAACATGAGAGGAAGCTGTGCCAGTGGGTCATCATGCCCCATTTGTACAGAACATTGAGTGGACTGTAACTGTGGACAACTGAAATACCGAAAAGAAAATGTGCACACACTGTTTAAATTCTAAACAGTGGGAGAATCGTTGTTTAAAGAAGAACAGATAATTGCTCATTCCACCCTCCCCAGTCTTTGAAAGATAGACACAGGAGTGTCACACAGTACAAGAGTTTGTATTACACAGAAAGAGGGACTTACAGACAGAAACAAAATTTAAAAACAAACAAACCACCAGCATTTATCACCGTTTATCCAGCCAGTGGTTTTCTTTATCCCCTTGGCTATTACTTTAGATATTTTTGCTTGGAACTTCTCCCCCACTTTTTCTGACAGCTCATTGATCTTGGGTTGGATCATCACAGTTCGTGGGAAACAATACAGGCTACTTTTCTAGCTTATTCCTTCTTAGATGCCTCTTGGATATTGTCCATTTAATATGTTTGAGAAATATAGAGAGACAAAACACACAGTGTTTTAATCTCAGAGTATATGTAGTGTGTCCCTGGAGAAGAAGTCTCATATATCCAAGGGAATCATTCCATTATTTTAAAGTAAGGCTTGTATTTCAGATTGATCCACCTGGAACATGTAATCAAAACTCATGAACTTTAATATAAATTCCAGATTCTGGTTTCTTATCTATATTTTTGGGAACATAACATTGGTAGATAAACTAATTGAAAAAAATATTTTCAATGTTGATTTAGAAATGGCTTTTAACTATTTCTACACATTCCATCACTCCATCTCAGAAGAAGCGGAGTAGAAAACTGCAGCAAATGGGACTTTATATTAAAGTCCTAGGAAATATATTCTGGCTGATGTGATGGTTCTTGTGTGTTTCAGTAGGCATGTAACATGTGAATCGCTTTGTGGAACTGGGTTCGTGAGGCTAGTATTTATGAAGCTGTATATTTCCTTCTGTGTAGTAACACAGAGAGTGATTCAGGAGAATGAGAAAATCCTGTTTCCTGGAAATACCATCCATCCTGAAGGAGTTACGAGAACCAGAACAGATATGTATTTTGCTATTTATCTCACACTTAAAGATTATACAATCCATTTTCCTAGGGCAAGCACAAATGGTCAGTTTTATAAATCTTGATGGACTAAGTCAAGTAAAAAAGCCCACTAGTTAAGAGTCCAGATATCGAGAGACACAAATCTGAGGAACGATCAATTAGGACACCGTGGTAGCTTGTCTCCAAGATGTCCATCATCAGCTCTTTCCTTCCCTGCATGTTTGTGCTGTTCTCTAGTTGAACGGTGGCGTCTATTCACTCCCTTAAAACTGGACTGGACTGTGACTTCTCTGAACAACAGTGACGTGATGTTTCATTCCCAGTGTTTGAGAGGATAGGAAATTTCTAATTTCTTTTCCTTGGAACATTTGCTCAGGAAAAAGCCAGTAACTATGTAAGAAGGCTAACTACTGCGAGACCACCATGCTATGAGAAAGCGCAAGCCATGTGGAGTGACTGCACGGGCTCTCAGAGATGCCCAGCCAAGCCCCACCCTCCATCCACCCGAGCCGAGGCTCTGCAGCCTACAGATGATTTCAATTCCAGCCATAATCTAACTCCAACTTCACAGGAGACCTGAAGCAAGAACTAGCCAGTTAAGTCTAATCAACTCATTAAACTGTGAGAGATAGGCATACATTGTTGTAGCCTACTAAGTTTTGAGATGGTTGGTTATGCACTGTGGATTCCTATTACCAATCGGCTATAATTATAAAATATCCACTGGCAAATATAAGTTCCAGAGGCAAAGACTGTGTTCCTTTTGCTCATCATTGTATTCATAACATGCAGCACAGTGCCTAGAACACAGAAAGCCCTAAACTAATAATACGTAAAAGTTTGAAAAAGTTTATCTGTACTAGTATGAAAGAAAGACCCATAGTCAAACGGCTGACATTTTTTAGCAAGTTTGATGGGCACAATAACCTTATGGTGGTGGTATTACTACCTCTGTCTTTGAGATGAGGGAACCTCAGCTTTTTTTTTTTTTTTGAGGAAGTAAGCTTCCCAAGCTCAGAAAGGTAGGGGAGAGGGCCAGGCATGGTGGCTCACACCTGTAATCCTAACACTTTGGGAGGCCAAGGCGGGCAGATCACCTGAGGTCGGGAGATCGGGGCCATCCTGGCCAACATGGAGAAACCCTGTCTCTACTAAAAATACAAGAAATTAGCCGGGCATGGTGGCACATGCCTGTAATCCCAGCTACTTGGGAGGCTGAGCCAGGAGAATCGCCTGAACTCAGGAAGCAGAGGTTGTGGTGAGCCGAGATCACACCATTGCACTCTAGCCTGGGCAACAAGAGCGAAACTCTGTCTCAAAAAGAGAAAAAAAAAAAAGAAAGAAAGGTAGGGGAGAGATTTGAACTCAGATTTGTGCAATTCTAAAGCCAGCCTGTTTATTATAGTCTCCCAGGAGACAACAACAGAAACAATGAGAAAACAATTTGAAAGAGATGCAAAACCCACCCCTTGAATCTTACCCAGGACTATGGAGCTCCATTAATTGCTGTCAACACGCTGGAACCTATTTCACATGAAGCTCAGACCAATTACAATTAATGCCACAGTCATGACTACAAACTAGAAACCAATGCCAGAGGAAGCTTAAGTTAAAGAAAGCAACGATCACGCACATATATTATGTTAGCAATTAGGCTTAATCCTAGAATCGTGAAGCCAAAGAGAATATATTAAAGAGAGAACAGTGCCCTCCTGGGAAGAAGAGCAATTTCAAATAGACTTTTTAGTGGCTTTCTACATTACTTACTTGAATATATTATGCTCCCCTAGAATTACTATATTACAATTACTCACGCCACATTTTATTTATTTCAGCAAGGAAATGGGATGGTGCAATGAGCTCAGTGGGCAGACGGTTTGGTTATTTCAATGAATAATTTGAATGTCAACAAGTTGGTGGATGCTAAGATGAAAGGGGAAGTAGTAAATAGCAAAGGTCTCAATGCCTGACTCTGAGATGGAGTAAGGATGAGCTATCAGGACTGGCACTTCACTTCTAAATGTTGAGCACTCAGGTTTTGCTAAATTTATAAAAGCACATGAACTAACTAACATCGCATATTTCCTTAACGAGAAAACCAGTTTATCTCTGTTTAAAACAGTTCTGATCTACTCAAATACACATTTTTAATTTTCACTGAAAAATGTTATAAATAAATCAAAATTTAAATAAAAAAACTGGGAGGGAAAGGTAGATCTACTTCTCAATTCAGAAGATTAATAAAAGGATTAAGGAATTAAATAATCACATTCTCTAGCCTCAGCTCACGACTTTTTCAAGGCTCAGTTTCTCAATAAATGGAAAAGCAAATTCTCATTATTCTCCCAATCTGTTTGAAAGCAGAGCTGGGGTGTTACAGTGATTAACAGTTATCAAGGCCCATTAAAGTTGTTAATTATAGTGGCGTTCACTATCTTTTTCCATCATTTTTAGCTATTGAGACAGGGTCTTTGTGGATCCCAAGGATCATGTGTTTGCAGTTCAATTCAGCAGCCACTAGGTGGTAATATTGTTGATTTTGGTAGCCATGAAGTGTGATCTATCAGACCTGCCCTCTTAAATGGAATTATGTACATCCCTTATATCATCAAGATGTAATTATAGAAATAATTATACTTTAAAATATGTAAAATATTTTAATTGTGAAAAATATAATCCCTTATAAAAGTTCCATGCATATCTGGTACCTTTTAAACTTATGCTAATTCTACTTACCTTTTATTCTAATTATACACATGACTATCTTCAAATTATACATATAACAAAAATAAAGTGTCTGGTCTTAACAGAAATCCAGCTTATATTCATTGCTTCTGGCTTATTTTTAGAAGAGATGAAAAAGATGCACATAACTTTCCTTCTAAAATTATGGCCGTCCTCTGTAGTAAATAATTATTTGCCACTTGAACTTGGAACCACTGCTATTCGCACCATTGGGTAAGTAAAATTTCTGTGATTAACTTTCTGAGACCCACTGTCTGAAGCATCTGATAAGATTTGACAAAATCACGTAACAACAGCAGCGGCTGATATACATAGTGCCAGGTTCTGAGCTAACTGCTCCACATACATTAGTCCTGCGTTCCTACTAGAGCTGCCACAACTCATTTAAGGCCAAATGAACTCAGCAGAAGAAACATACCCGTATTATTTGAAGGAATGAAAAGATCTTTCCAGAATTGGACATTGTCTGCGAAACTATGTATTATATAACATGTATTATGCACAATAACTCCCAGAAGGCAATACAGGTGTTAAGCTCTTTCATTATGAAGAAGACAATAACTGTATAAATCAAAGAGAAGTCTTGTGATAGCATCTTTGATCAATCACTGATGAAAACCTTGCCATAGTTGTCAAGAATCCAAAGAGAAAGTGGTGGCTAGGCCAATAATTACGTGAGGCAATTTATCATGAGAACAACCATTATGCAAGATGCAGAGCTCAATACTGATTCCATAAAATACTTAAATACTTGTCACTGCAATTCTTTACTAATTACAATGGAAACTTTGTTGTTATTGTTGGGAAAGGTAAAAGAGGACCTCTATTAAGACCTCAGAAAAGGAATCTTTGAGGTTAAGCTGTTACCCAAGGTTAAGGCAAATCTACTATTCTGATACTTTTCTCCTTTAGATGATGAAACAAATATGCTTATTTCTATTTACCCCTAGGGTCCTGGGACTCAAAAGAAACCAAGTGGTTCTCTAAGTTAGTAGGATGGCACAGTAACAACGCTGGGATTGAGCTCACCCTGACCCTGAGTAAGTTACCAAGACCCTCAGACTCAGTTTTCTTATCTGGAAAGTTAGGAATGAAAAAAATCAGTTTCAAAGGATTGCTGCAAAATTAAATGAAGTGCTATGCACCTGTTGAAGTCAAGTATAGCATGCTCCCCAATCACCCCCCAACACACACACCAGAACTAACAATTCAGGAAGGAAATTTTCAGTATATTGGTGTTTCTCACAGAGGGTCAAAGTGGGACAATAAGAATGCCTTAAATGTAACACATTGTATTTATTAAAGCTTTATAGTTTATATGGTGGTTTCCCATGTATGTTATCTAATTTCATCTTCATAATGACACTGTGTACTAGATATTACTATTCCCATTTTACAGACAAGAAAAGAAAAAAGGCCCCAAGAACTTAAAATCCTTTGCAAAATCACATAGAAAGGTTAAGTGGTGAACCCAGTGTTCAAACCTAGGTCTTCTGACTTCAAGCACAAAGCTCTCTCACTACATTCAGAACACTTAAAAACACAACATTTTATTGTGCCTATCGTTAATAAGACTGTATTGCACACTTAAGAATTTGTTAAAGAGGGTAGAATTCATGCTAAGTATTCTTACTAAAATAATAAAAGTTGTATGTATGTAGAAAAAAGTATTGCTTAATCTAATTAAACTAAACAGCTTCTGCACAACAAAAGAAACTAGCATCAGAGTGAACAGGCAACCTACAGAATGGGAGAAAATTTTTGCAATCTACCCATATGACAAAGGCCTAGTATCCAGAATCTATAAGGAACTTAAATTTACAAGAAACAACCCCATCAAAAAGTGGGCAAAGGAGATGAACAAACACTTCTCAAGACATTTATGCGGCCAACAAACATGAAAAAAAGTTCAACATCACTGATCATTAGAGAAATGCAAATCAAAACCACAATGAGATACCATCTCCCACCAGTCAGAATGGCGATTAAAAAGTCAAGAAACAATAGATGCTGGTGAGGCTGCAGAGAAACAGGAATGCTTTTACACTGTTGGTGGGAATGTAAATTAGTTCAACCATTGTGGAAGACAGTGTGGCGATTCCTCAAGGATCTAGAACCAGAAATGCCATTTGACCCAGCAATCCCATTACTGGTATATACCCAAAGGATTATAAATCATTCTGCTATAGAGATGCATGCACACGTATGTTTATTGCAGCACTATTTACGATAGCAAAGACTTGGAACCAACCCAAATGCCCATTGATGATAGACTGGATAAAGAAAATGTGGTACATATATACCATGGAATACTATGCAACCATAAAAAAGGATGAGTTCATGTCCTCCTAGTTTTTCCAAAACAAACTAATGAAATGTGAAAAGGGTGAATTCACAAGGGGCTATACATAGAAAGAAAGAGGCTGACTGACTTGGCTCCATCCTCTACTTCTACCTGGGGACATTTCCAATCATCAGAAAGAGGTTAATGCAATTGCAGCTCCAGAGTCTCATCAAACTATCTTGGATTCTGCCATGATGAAAGGGAAATGAGGAGATTACCCAATAACACCATCATGAGGTTGTCCTTAGTAATACTTCAATTCTTACATGGTTAAGGGCCTACTCAAAGTTGTAAAAATCAGTTTAAGGTATAGTCCCCTGTTCTACCAAAGCAAGCAAATAAACTGGTTCCATAACGTTGAAAAGATGTAGGGGTGTGTGTGTGTGTGTGTAAATATCTGCTGCTGCTCTAGGAAAGACCCTGTAAGAGTTAATGATACTTATCTGACAAATAATATCTTACCTCCAAACCCAACCACTACCATCTCTCTTCCACTAGCATGTAGTTCTGAGACAGTGTTTAAAAACAGAAGACAAGGCTGGGCGTGGTGGCTCGTGCCTGTAATCCCAGCACTTTGGGAGGCTGGGGTGGGTGGATCACTTGAGGTCAGGAGTTCCAGAAAAACAGGAGACAAACTCTTTAAAAAACTAAGAGTTAAGGCCGGGCGTGGTGGCTCATGCCTGTAATCCCAGCACTCTAGGAGGCCGAGGTGGGCGGATCACAAGGTCAGGAGATCGAGACCATCCTGGCTAACGCAGTGAAACCCCGTCTCTACTAAAAATTACAAAAACTTAGCCAGGCGTAGTGGCGGGCACCTGTAGTCCCAGCTACTCGGGAGGCTAAGGCAGAAGAATGGCATGAACCTGGGAGGCGGAGCGTGCAGTGAGCTGAGATCGCGCCACTGCACTCCAGCCTGGGTGACAAAGCGAGACTCCATCTCAAAAAAACAAACAAACAAAAAAATTAGAGTTAAGGCCTAAAATGCAAATACCCACGGAAGAGGTCAGATCCTGACAATGATCTCAAGATATAAATGACTGAGATTTGGTTCTATGTTTGTGATTAGGTTTAAAGGATGGTCTGTGTCGGGGTAATCTGAGAGAAGATCTTTACTCTCTCATTTTGGCATATTCATAAAAGTGTACATTGAAGCACCTGTGTAATGAAGAGCCCAAATGAAATAAAGAACAGGATTATGGCAATAAGAAAAAAAATATGAGGAACAGGTAAAACACCCTACATATTAGAGGCCTCTTCTTGACCATAATGTAAATTAGGGTTCACGTTACATACCTAATAATAACATCACAAAAGTGTGACGCCTGAAACTGAAGTGATGATGGAAGCATGAGCAAAATAAGTGAAGTCAATCCAAGTCAAGGAGAAAGAACGGAGGGGTTCCAGCAGGTTCATGTGTGTGCACGTGTGTGTGCGCGCACACGTGTTGTGTGTATTAGACTGTCTTGAGCTCTCAATGCCTTTAAACATTTCCTTGCATTTTCTCATTGACTGGGAGGCTTCCATTAGATAGAGCCATCTAGAGCGATGTTGAAGAAGGCAGCCATAGGAAAGAAACCAAGGTACTAGCTCATAGATCTTGCTTGATAAGGGACCTTCAGATTTCCTTTTAAGTTGTCCAGTTCAGCACCCAATGAAAGTAATGAGACTGTGAGTAAGACCATTTGGTTTCCAATTCTAGGTTCAGGTGGCTAAGGGACCCCAGTTGGTATAATGATGGAGAAGCAATGAATAGGAAGCAGAATCTTAGGGAAAAATGTGAAGTGCGAAGTACTATAGAAAATTGTTTTTCAAAAAAAATTTGTTTACTATTTTAAGAGGTATTCACTGGTTAAAACACCCAAATTTATAACAAATCTGCATACGCCTATGAACCTCATCTGCCTATTTTCTACCTGCTGCAGCAATGAACCTGTTTGATTAGTTTTAGGAGTAATAGTCTAAATATTTAACAATAACATAGGTACTAACTAGCAGAACAGGCAACCTGTATGGGTGTTATGGTGAGGACCAGCTGAATATCAGTCTTGGGTTAGTTCTCTTTTGTTTTTTTTTTTTTTTTTTTTTTTTTTCAGAGACAGAGTCTCACTCTGTCACCCATGCTGGAGTGCAGTGGCGCAATCTCGGCTCACTGCAAGCTCTGCCTCCCGGGTTCATGCCATTCTCCTGCCTCAGCCTGTTGAGTAGCTGGGACTACAGGCGCTTGCCACCACGCTCAGCTAATTTTTTTTTTTTTTTGTATTTTTAGTAGACACGGGGTTTCATCGTGTTAGCCAGGATGGTCTCGGTCTCCTGACCTCGTGATCTGCCCGCCTCGGCCTCCCAAAGTGCTGTGATTATAGGCGTGAGCCACCGCGCCCGGCCAGTCTTAGGTTAGTTCTTATTTGTTCTCACTGTTAGGTAGTATTCATTTTTTGCTTCATCTTTATCTGAATGATAAAATAATATACCTAATAATAACATAACTACTCTTCTGACCCTTGCTTTTATCCACTTAAACATATACATTAGGGATCCTCCAGGTCAATACATACAGACTTTTTTTTAAAAAAAGATGCTTAGTATTCCAATGTATGGAAATACCATAATTTCACAACTCCATTACTGGATAGTCATTAGAAACCGACTTCGGGGGAAAACATACGCTCTTTGCAGGAATTTCTGGGAAAAAAATCCCCTCTAGCCCTTTTAGATAAAAGCCTACCTAATAGACCTGTGATAAAATAGCTTTCTTTTCTTTATTTTTTTTTTTGGAGGAGTCTCACTGTGGCCCAGGCTGCAGTGCAGTGGTATGATCTCAGCTCACTGCAACCTCTGCTTCCTGGGTTCAAGCGATTCTCCTGTCTCAGCCTCCAGAGCAGCTGGGATTACAGGCGCACACCACCATGTCCGGCTAATTTTTGTATTTTTAGTAGAGATGGGGTTTCGCCATGTTGGCCAGGCTGGTCTCAAACTCCTGACCTCAGGTGATCCGCCTGCCTTGGCCTCCCAAAGTGCAGGGATTACAGGCTTAAGCCACTGCGCCTAGCCAAATAGCTTTCTTCATCTTCCAAGGATTACTGTTCTGTTACTTAAGTGATCCGGAAGTCACAAGAGATTATCTTAATTCTTGGCCATTTAATGATCTTTGGAACCACGCCTGTCGGTATTTTCTTGAGTAGCAGTGGAGCATACAAGAACCCATTTTGGCTCAGGCAGAGTTCATGTTCTCTAGCCATACTTCTTCTTTCCACAAGCTTTGTAAAGGACGTCAGAATTATTTCCCTCACAGGTTACATTGTTCAGATTACTGACCTTTCCTGATCTCTGTAACCTTAGTGGTTGAATATGGTGATTCAGATAGTTTTGTTTCTTTATTTCTGGGGGTTGAAGTGAAGAGATTATGTAATAACCTGCTCTTATTTTGCAACTTAGAGATTTAAGTATGGCCTTTGTCAATCTAATCTGACCAAAGTATTTACTAAGAATAGATTACGTGCATATGCCCAACATAGAAAGATGATTCTATATCCAGGAGGTCTGACCACAGAAATGTATTATCGACCAAAAATGTACCTCTTCAGATTCTGGGATGATTCAGCAATTCTGAAAGGATTTAAACAGAAAACCCAAGGAGGAGGAAAAAATAGCCTCTAGGTACATTACACAATTCAAGCTGTTTGTTCATAAATTCAACAAACACTTATTAACACCTATCATGGGACAGGCTGAGCCTATATGATGTTGGGACAAGTGAGTGAACAGGACAAAACAGACACAGTCCCAGCTGTCATGGAATACCCATCTATTTATATAATTCCTTTTGCATTCAATGTTGAAAATCAGAATTACTGCTTTTGTTTATTTTAAACCTGGTAAATTTATCTATTTTTTACTAGAAAATAGTTCTTTTTTTTAACTTTTATTTTAGGCTTGGGGGTACATGTGAAGGTTTGTTACATAGGTAAACTAAAACAATTTTTGATATTAAGAATATCTCTAATCTAGCCAGGCGTGGTGGCAGGTGCCTGTAGTCCCAGCTACTTGGAGGCTGAGGCAGGAGAATGGCGTGAACCCGGGAGGCAGAGCTTGCAGTGAGCCAAGATCGCGCCACTGCACTACAGCCTGGGTGACAGAGCAAGACTCTGTCTCAAAAAACAAGACAAAACAAAACAAAACAAAAAAAACAGTATCTCTAATCTCAGCTGGTCAAAGGAACTTAGAAAATAGTTTCATAGACTAGGGCTAGAATGGTTCATGCAGAATCATTCAGAATTTGGCTCCATTCATGGATGCCAAGCGAAATTAACGGAGAATGAGATAAGGCCAAGTGTGGGAGAGTGCTGGGATTAGAGCTAGTTTAGGTTCCAGCCCTCCCTGCCAAAGCTATAAATACAAATGACCAATTTAACAGCATGAAAAGACCACCTACAAGATCTATACCTGGGATCTAATCAGTTGCTCTGCGCCTTCTTTTAATTATAGGATCCCTGCCATGTTTATGGGAACTTTTAATGTGAGCATCACAGTTTTGAAGGCCATATCATTATGACCATGTTTGATCTGAGGGTGGGAAAGCAGGAGCTCACAAAATGCCTGCACAAGGTTATTCTGAACTGAGCTATAAACCAGCTTCAACAAGAGCCTAGTGTGGAAAAGAAAAAAGACACGTAAGAAAAAAGGCATGGATATCATGGAGTTTGCAACCCCGCCAAGTGGTGCCATTAAAATTACATTCAATTCTTCTCAGAAAATGAAATTAAGAAAAAGTACCACAGTTTTGTCAAATAACACTATATAAGGACATTCTGAGAAGGGAAGAATGAAAAAGACATAAGGATAAACGCATCATCTCCATCTGAGTGTGGCAACAGGATATGATTTACAGAAGAAAAATTAAATCATCATGATTGTTAGAGCTGAATTGCAGCTGATATAAAAATAATCCTGAGTCACAACGCACGTGACTTCTCAGGCATACAGAACACAATTGCTTAAAACTTTATAAGTGATAAGACTCCTAATAGAGAATTAGCTTTCTTGCAAAACACTCTGTATAAGCTGTGCTGTAGAAGTACAGAAGTATCTTTTCTCAGTTACATTTGTTATATGATATCCTGTGCTCAGATACTCTGATACTTCAGGTATCGCCTCATTCTACACTCTTTTCTTTGGGCTATCTCATTCATTCCTATGACTTGAACCTTTGTCTCATCTAGCTCTCTCCCATGAGCCCAGCATCTCTACCTGCGCGTCTCACATGTACAAAGTTAACCTGTCTAAAGTTGACCTCACTGTCTTCCATCTCAAATCTAGTCTTATCAGTATCCAACCAGTTATCCAAGCAAGAAAAAGGAGTTACCCTATTCTCCTCTGTTTCATTTTGTACATCCAATTTATTAACCTGTCCTGTAATGCCTAAAACAGCCCTTTACTGTTTACAATTATGTCTTTTCCTTCTTATTTTTACTGCCATTGCTTTGTTTGTTTGTTTTTGAGACAGCGTCTTGCTCTGTTGCTAAGGCTGGAGTACGGAGAATGATAGTTCACTGTAGCCTTGAACTCTTGGGCTCAAGCAATCCTCCCACCTCAGCCTCCCAAGTAGCTGAGACTACAGGCGCCACCACTTTCAACTAATTTTTGGAGAGATGGGGTCTCACTTTGTTGCCCAGGCTGGTTTCAAACTCCTGGCCTCAAGTGATCCTCCTACCTCGGCTTTGCCATTGCTTTTGCTCAAGTTCTTAATTAGTCTGTTACTTGTCCAATATTTTTTTATATTACTGTTAGTTATAACTAACATATTTCTCAGCCACAACAAAAAGCAAAGAGATATACCCCCTGCAAAATAATTGCACAAACCAAAACAATGCAAACAAATCCAACATGATCATGTCACTCCTGTACACATTATTTTTCAATATTATCTGCGGCCTGTCAGACAAAGTTCAGATTCTTTAGCAAGTCATATTGTGACTCTTATCACCGTTTTGGTCTTGTGTTCTTCTCATTTGCCTTGTGATCTAGCCACACCAAGTTGCTTGCCATTTCCCAAACACATCATGTCTTTCATCCTTCTGAGACTTGCAGTGTTTTCCTCTGCCTGGAATGCCCTTTGTAGCCTGTCTGCTGAGAATTTCTAATCCTCAATTTCCTCATCTGTATAGCAGGGCGGTAACAGTACTCACTTCAAAGGACTGTCATGGTGACTAAGTAAAAAGGTGATTTGTTCCCCATGGTATTTAGCAGATAGAAGCACTCAGTAAATATTAACATTATCATTGCCATCATTATTATTTTGTTTTTTCAACTCTAAACAAAAATATCTTCTTTGCTGAAAGTCTTACCTAAAAGTGTTGGGCATTCTTCCTCTCTGATTCTATATGCCTAATTATAGTACCACATTACACCAACTCCAAAATTGATAGAATTTTCACGTTTTAGAGCCTCTGATATTGGGGTACATCTTAAGAGTCTACATGTTGTGGCTTATGGCAGTAATTTTTCTTTTTTAGTAGTACATGTAATAGTGGTATTTCTTACAATAAATAGCGTATTAGATGAAATACTATAAACTGTATGACAATTGTCATAGAAATTTGATTATCTATGGTGAATAGTGCCTATCTGTGGCAAATGGAAAATCCTACATTTTCTACGAATCAGTGAAATATCTACGCAATAAATGAAGTACTATTTGGAACTCTACACAGTAGAGAGGAGATACTCCATTTGTATATACTGCAATTTGGCAAAAACCCAGCCCCTACATCATAGCATACTGCTGTGAACTATAATGTATTTCTTAACCACAAACCCTAAACCATACATTTCAGAAATGTAGAGGTAACAGCCTGACCAAGTAGCATGCTGTCACCTCCTTTGGTTACGTAGCCCCACTTGAGAGCCAAACAAGGGCCAGGCCCAGAGTGGGCAGGGGGCTAGCTTGTGAAACTCTGCATTCCAGTAACTTAGGATTCAAGCTGAGAAGGCAGGGCGACAATGAGAAGAGAGTGTAGGAATGAGCTGAGGAAAGCCTACGGAACATGCCTCTAGACTAGCACTTTCTGATAGAAATAGAATGTGAACCACTAATACAATTTAGATTTTCTAGTAGCCACACTCAAGAAGTAGAAGAAATATAATTTAGCTAATATATTTTGTCAGGTTATTAACATATTTATTAACTTACCTATAAATGAATGTTAATCGTTTTATTTATTTAACATATCTAAAATGTTATCACTTTACCATGCAATCAGTAAAAAAAATCAGCAATAAAATATTTGACATGTTTTTTCTGCTGAGTTTTCAAAACCCCGTGTTTTACCCTCATAAGACATCTCAGTTTGGATTAGCCACATTTCAGCTTCTCAAAAGCCACATGTGGCTAGTGCTTGCCACATCGAACAGCACAATTCTAGACTGTTTTGACAAAATGAGTTAAGTAATGAAATAATTGTAACAAGCTATTTCAACAGTAGACTTTTCTACCATACGGTATTGGGAATGTTTAAGATTCCTACAATAGTATATATATTTTTATATTCTTAACTTTTTTAATAGAATGGTAATGTTTCCTTCAAATTCAATCTGTGTCATATTTTGGCTGGTTTTGTCTTAAGCATGATTTGATGTTATTCCTAATGTTACTTTTACCTCATCTGTAAAGTAGGAGCTGATGAGCTGATTGTCACTTTTACCTCATCTGTAAGTCAGGAGCTGATTGGCCGGGCAAGGTGGCTCACGCCTGTAATCCCAGCACTTTGGGAGGCCGAGGCGGGTGGATCGCCTGAGGTCAGGAGTTCGAGACCAGCCTGGCCAACATAGTGAAACCCCATGTCTACTAAAAATACAAAAAACTGGCCGGGTGTGGTGGTGGGCGCCTGTAATCCCAGCTACCTGGGAGGCTGAGGCAGAAGAATTGCTTGAACCCGGGAGGTGGAGGTTGCAGTGAGCCGAGATCGCACCACTGCACTCCAGCCTGGGCAATGAGGGTAAAACTCCACCTCAAAAAAAAAAAACAAAAAACAAACAAAAAAAAGAGCTCGTTGTATTCAATTATAGATCTTTTCCCATTAAGATATTCCTTGGGACAGAGTGTAGGAGTATACAATTAATCTTAGTACTCTTGGTCTCTAACATAGAGCCTAACCTATAGCAGGCTCAGAATAAATCTTTGAATACACATTAAAAGGTGAACTAAGCTAGAGAGTACTGGCTATCTGGGTTCCACACTGGAATTACGTGGAGAGTTAAAAAAAAAAAAAAAAGAAAAGAAAAAAGAAAGAAAATCTGATGCCTGGCCCCACCCTGAGAGATGCTGATGATGGGTCTAGAGTTGGGCCCGGGTATCAAGATTTTAAAAAATCTCCTAAGTGATTCTAGTATGCAAGAGAGTTGAGAACCACTGTTTTAGGACTTTCTTAGAACAGCTTCCTATGGCCATACCTTTACTTCCCTGTCATAAGATCCAGTTTCCCTCATATAAATTCCGTTTCTCTGAATAGACCAGAATTGTCTTGGGAGCCCTAGTAGAGAAGAGGCTAACACATTATCCCAAATGGGGATTTGCAAATTGCTTTTCCAAGGTACCAAAGAAGATTCTCAAGGTTTTAAATCTATTCATATTTATGTCTTTTCAACAAAAAGAATAAAATTCACAATATAAGCTGGCTGCTTTGCAGACGCAGGATTCTAAGAGCATTACAGCATGCAGGTAAATAGTACCCTGACATGCACATGGCAAAATTTTCTAGAAATAGAATAGCAATTAAAAATAAAGATGGAATCCAAGTACAAATGAGCCTCATTTCAAGTTAATTCTACATATGTAAAAAGCAGATACTATTAACTGGGGTCAGCAAAGGGAAGTAGTTCATGGTTTTCTTCAGGCTACTTAGGTTATATTTACACAGTATAATTATACAGCAATGCATTTTTTGATAAGTCACTTATAAAATCCATCTCCTATAGTCACATAGCACACAAGTATTGGTATCTTTGCTCTCAAGATGGTACTTTGTCTGACAGCATTTCTTCCATCATATATGAGGTTCTGTAATGGCTGAGAGAGAAATCTGACTTCTCCTACTTCAATACAGACAACCTTTCATCATGGAGAAGGGAGCAATGGTCTCTGCACCAAGGGAACAGCAGCTGGAATGGAGTTCCTCTGACTCATAGACTGAGAATTTCCCTGCTGATTCTCAAGCTGGTTTGGCCACACTTTATGCATTCACCCTGCTTAACAGTCTTTTGTTGATGGTGTGGTAACAAGTGGCCTTACTCAGTAATAGAAAAAGCATGTTGAGATATCCCCCAAAGGCTCCTATGTGTGTTTCCTCTAGCTTTCCAGCAGGGAAAAAAGCTGCCTGCAACAACCCCACACTTATTTTTGTTTTACATCTTAAGTTAAATTTGAGAAATTAGAATAGGAATTATCTAAAAGACATGATACTTCCATGTTCACTAACCCTGATAAACAGAAGTTCCCTACTCATGCCAAAACTGTGAAGGAAGGAAATCTGTTAAGATTTCAAAGAAAGTGTGGAGTCTCATGCATACCAGCACATCACTTTCACTGACTAACCCCCAGAGGGCTGATAGGTAGCAAGTGATTGATGGGTGACATTCACTTGGCCCTAATTTTCCTATCTGAAAAGGAATGGAAAATATAACACAAGTTTCCAAGTTGCTACACTCATAAAACCAGGAGGGTGATCACCATCCACCTGTCCAGGTTGACCACAAATGTGAAATGCATGACCACATCTGCCTTACATGTATGTCATTTGTCAGTAAACACGGGCTAAGGAATTCCTTGAGCCCCATGAAGAGACAAAAAAGTTTGTCCTCAGAGAATTTACAAAAGCCAGAGTAACATTCAAGAATTTAAAATATTAAACTGGATTTGAAAGGTGATATGAAAGCTACAGGACAACTTTATCTACCGTGAGTATGTAACCACCATGGAAAGATGGGCTAATGAAATCACCAGAGCTGCCTGTGGTCAGCCAGGATGCCAGGGGCCGTGGGCCTCAGAGAAAGATTCATGGAATGAAGGATGTTTCAGGGCCACGTGTATGTGCGGCTGACAAAGCTTCCTACCTTTTTGGAAGAACTCCTCTAGTTTGTCCTTGAAAGGCTGGAGATACTCCTTTGGGGACTCCTTGCACACCACCACCATCTGTTTCTCACTTGCTGTGAAGAGAAATTTAGAATTAGACTTAGGAACACAGATTTGCTGAGCTCCTGCTATGGGCCAGGTACTGTGCTATGCACTTGGCTATCAATTGTGCACACTCCTTGTCAACCACTGTTGGTCCAAATTCCAGGATTGGGGGGCAGGGGGAACAAAACCCAGAAATAATAAACAAACCAACAAAAATAATTAGTTCATTCTACACCACTCTTGAGGAACAGGGCAATGTACAATCCTTCCATTTTTCTTCTAGAGATCCAGAAAAGTCTCTGACCTGGGATAGGTAAAGTATTCTGCTTGTGTTCTCCCAAAGATAAAGAGAGGCAAAAACTACTTGAGGATTAGTCTCACGAAATTAAGGGCCTCAGCCCTCCTCAGATTCACACTCCAAAAGTAGAGCTTGAAAAATATATTGCAGAAATTCTCAGGCACCCAAGTTGTCTAGAACTACCAACCTAGTGATTGGCCAGGGTGACACACGCATCCCAACATGAGAACTAAGACCAGGTCGGGGAGGACCCTGTCAGTTCTTCATGCTTCCCGTTCACCTACCCTTCCTTTTAATCCTCTACTAACACAAGGGGAATAATTTTACATAATTTACTTCAGATAGACTATCTAAAATTTGTAATAGAGTACTTTTTGATAATCAGGTCTGAGGTGACTTGACTTTTTAAAAATGACCTACCTTATTGGATAGTTACGATTTGTCTACAGGGAAGCCACAGTAAATCATAGTTCACCATCACAAAAGGCAGTTAACCCAGCCAAGAGGCATCTCCCCAAGGTTCCTATGTGTTTGTGCCAGTTACAGCATGCACTGGGAAAAGAAAGGCTTCGTTTCTACAAAGCTAGAGCTGAGTCAAGATCACTTTCATCTGTTGACCATGGCTGGAAATTAGATATGTTCTTGTCCAAAAGCCTATTAATAAAGCACTGGATTTCACCATAAAGATATCATGCCACCTGGGGTTCACAAAATAGAGAAACATATACTACAGATCTTGGAGCAATTTATAAACACACAGGTAAGGTATTTTGGAAGAAGGAGGTTGGGAAGGAGATCTTTATTTACATTGGGAAATTCCTATCCAATAATTTGGCATATTTAAAACTAGCATCTCAGAACGTATACTGCAGGCAAAGCAATAAACATGTCAGTTCAGAAATAGAGAAAATGCAAAAGACACCACTTAAATGTTCTCTGAAATTAGTTATCTGACACTTTTCATTTGCAATATTGCCAACTAGATTGCAGAAATCCTAGACAACCCTGGGGACTACAAAACGGTGCTGAAAATGAAAGTACAATTTGAGGGAACCCTTTGTCATTTTCTGAGTCAAGGTCAGAATCACCTACATTTTCAGAGGTATCTAGGGATTTCTCATGATACAGGGATGCTAGGTCACAGGACAGGGGTACCGAAATTCAAGCTCTATCTATTGACATTGTTTCTTAAAGAGTTTTTATAGAGCTATCTAGAATATCTGCTATTAGCTATTCTGACAACCATTCCAAGGCTATCTAGGAAATCCTGTCCATTGGGAGGCAAAGACTAATTTTTTAAATGACTTATCTTATTGAAAAAATACAAATCTTACCTTGAAACAACTAGAACAAATTCTATAAATCCAGTCAAATAATCATTTAAAACATTCATTTTTTCCACATTTTTTTCCTTTCTTTGTAAGCCTTTTTGTCCTCTCTACAATAACTACTTTATAGCTTCTCTGCTATTATGAGATTACCCTTCACCTCTTTTGAAATAGATGGATCTGTGGCCAAATGGTAAGTATGTCCTTCCCACTACCATTCTTTTCTCAAAATAGGACACTTTGCGCTAGAGTAGCGTCCAAGGAGCGAGAGAGTAGATAGAGCTGGGATATATTTTGCAGGTGTAACAAATAGGTCTTGCTGATTCAGTCAAGGTAGGGTTGAAGCAGATGGAAGGGTAAAGGGGTGGGCAATGGGTTGCTGGAAGTGCCATTTGCTGAGATAGAGAATAGTGGGGAAGTATCTTGTTGGATTATGTTTTTTTAAGAGACAGAGGACATCAAGAGTTAAATTTGATGCTTAAGTTTTCTCTAGTCTCTATAAATTGTAAGGCAATCTTGTCCCCTGAAAACAAAGGGGGAAAGGTACAAAAGAAGATAAAACTATTAATGGGTTCTCATCACGAATTCAACTAAATTCAAACTTCGGGGACTTGGATTATTTAAGGCCTTTTCCATTATGGCATATTTCAGCTCTATTTCCCACATGTATTTGACTAACCAAACCAAAGCTGTTCAATGTTTTCCAGTTACATTATTCGGCATTCCCAGTTCCATGTCTTCATTCATGTGGTTCTCTGCTCTGCTCTCATGCCATACATTCTTTCAACAATATCTGACAAAGTCCTGTTCATCCTAAAAAGCTTCTCTGAGATGCCAACATTGCCACAAAGCATTTTTCAATCCAATGTTTTTGCATCTTTCAAACATATCTATCACCGTCTGCACAGTATTTATGTTTTACCTTTAATATTTATGTAAAAGTCCATACATTAATCCCTGAGAAGTCATCATGCAGGATTCATTTACTTCTCCCCAAACTTCTCTAGAGAGCTCCATGTATCTGGCGAAAGCATCAGATTTCCTTATCTTGGCTGAATGTCGTGGTTTGCACCTGTAATCCCAGTGCTTTGAGAGGCCTTGGTGGGAGGATCACTTGAGGCCAGGAGTTCAAGACCAGTCTGGCAACACAGTGAGACCTTGTCTCTCAAAAAAAATTTTTTAAGTTATCCAGGCATGATGGTGCATGCCTGTAGACCCAGCTACATGGGAGGCTGATCTGGGAGGGTTTTTTCTGCCCAGGAGTTCGAGGCTGCAGTGTCATACCATTGTACTCTGGCCTGGGTGATAGAGTGAGACAGACAGACAAGAAAGGAAAGAAAGAATGAAAGAATGAAAGGAGGAAAGAAAGGCAAAGGCAAAGGCAAGGCAAGGCAAGGCAGGAGGGAGGGAGGAAAGAAGGAAGAGAGAGACAAAGAGAGAAAGAAAAAGAGGAAGGAAGGAAGGAAAAGGAAAAAAGGAAAGGGAGGAAGGAAGGAAGGAAGGAAAGAAAGGAGAGAGGAAGAGGTAGGAAGGGAGGGAGGAAGGAAAGAAGGAAGGAAGGGGAAAGGAAAGAAAGAAAGGAAGAAAGGGAAAAGTAGATGAAGAAAAAAGGTTTCTTCATCTTAACTAGATTCTCACGTGTAGGAAAGTTTAAATAAAATTAGCAATGTTGGCTTGGCACAGTGGCTCGTGCCTCTAATACCAGCACTTTGGGAGGCCAAGGCAGGTGGATCACTTGAGCCCAGGAATTTGAGACAAGCTTGGCCAAAGTGGTGAAACCCTGTTTCTACAAAAAATACAAATACTGGCTGGGCATGGGGGTGTGCACCTGTGGTCCCAGGTATTCAGAAGGCAGAGGTGAGAGGATCACCTGAACCCAGGGAGGTCGACACTGCAATAAGCCATGACCACACCTCTGCACTCCAGCCTAGTCTCACAGGGTGAGACCCTGTCTCCTGTCTAAAAAATATATATACATACATATTAGCAATGTTGACCCAGACTCCAAGTGGGCTTTCCAGAGATGCAATGTGACTTGCTTGCCCTTCCCCTGCACCAAGGGGTCACCGTCTCTGTGTCTCTGTACTCCTCAAACATGGTGAGGTGTCCCAAGATGATCTAAGGTTTGAGTGTATTTTAAAGACCCCCAGAAATGTCCACCACCTCATCCCATGAGTCATAAGCAAGGTAACAAAGGTAACAAAGATGATTATCCTGATTGGGTAGTTCTCAAGGTAGGCAGGGAAGCAGGAAAGACATCTGTTTTAAGGAATCAGCATTTCTCAATGAACATTTGTGGCCACATAAACTTTCCTGATTATTTCCAGCTATGATTCTGAGAATACAGTTAAAGAAAAGCTAGGATTTCCCACAATATAAATTGGGAGGAGTTCCTTAAATTATTTAATTAACCCTCTACTATATTCAAATTCCAACAATTTCATTTATATAGAATTGTTTTTCATGAACGTAGTATAAAACATGCCTGCAATTTACTAATAGGATATAATCGAACGCCTGACAATAACTCCTTCAAGGTTACTTCTCCCTGGTGAAAGCAAAGCTGAAGGCAGAGCTTGTTTCCCCAATTACAAAAGCAATACTTTCTCTTTTGCCTGAATTCACAGGGTTGATCGCTGCAGCTCTCCCTTTGTGCTAGATGTGGTGACAGAGCCCATGCGGTGCCCATCAAATTGCTCCAATTTTATGAGGCCATATCATGGGGGTGGTAAAGAGCTTGTGCTTGGATTGAGACCCACTAGGACTCAGGTGGGCTGTGGCTTGTTTTTCTCATCTGCAAAATGGGGACCTCCCGCAACACAGGCATGATATGATATTTAAGATAATACATACATAGTGATTTGCAGAATGCCTGGCACTCACAAGCAGGCTCATAAATATTATTTGTTATTTTTATGTTTGACTAAAATTGGTTGGGAAACATGTCAAGGTCAGAACAGCAAGAGAGTCATGGCTGGGGATTATTTGCTACAGATGCTGGGCACTGTATTTACGGAAATATGCCACGGTGCAAATCTCCTGTTTAGAACATAGGGATAATGATTTTCATTCCCGTGCTGAAGTTCCACCACCCATTGTGAGAATTCACTGAAGAATGCAGGCGAAGTCTTGGGGAAAGACGAAGCAAAATGGGAAACAATTCCCCTAGGCCTCTGAGCTTCGCGGTTTTGAAATTAGAAACTGAAACCAGTACAAACGAGAGCAGCTCCACTGCTGTGCTCCAAGGCCCTCTCTGCAGCCCCACGGGCTGGGATTCCCACGTGGCCTGTAAGAATTAAACTTCCCCACATGATCAAAGGAGAGGGCTGCCCTCCGACGGTCCCCACAGAGCCACGCGCCCCGGAGGCCAGGCAGCTTGCCTGCTCCAATTTATTGACTTGGCTTATCCGAGATGCTTTCTAGCAGACAAATGGGAGACCTGAAGGCTAATTAATGATGACACCGGAGACTGGCAGTGCATAAAGGAGAGAGGTCATGGACAGATCCACAAATGTCCTTCACTGTTCAACCGGAAGACTCGCATACGATATTGCTAGACCACCAAGGTTGCCTCAGGCGTGGGCTGTGCCAGGAGCTCCAGTTAAAAGCCAAAGTCACCCCAGGTTCTCTTTCTGTTATTTTTCTCTTTACACAATTTTTTGGCAATTAAAAATATATTAATTTCCGAAGTTAGTTACTACTAAGTGATCACTGTGAGACAGAGATGAAATATTAAAAACCAATACATAGTGAAATAACTGAGACTACATGGAGAATATTTTCACTTACAGGTTAAACACTGGTGGAGTATTTTAGTGAAAGGAAAGATATGGCCTAGACTATTTTAATATTTCAGATATTAGGCTGTTAAGGTCAGAATTATCTGTTTTTTGTTTTTCACCCCTAAGAACAAGGGAATAAAGCTTATTAAGCCACTTAAAAAGCCTAGGCAGGTTAGAAAAATGTAGCAGTAAGACCCAGATATAATTCATCAAAGTCAAATACGTTTAATTGCTTTGTAAATCAAATGTATGTGGGCAATTGGTATGAAGATATGAAACTTGTTTCTTTTTGTATGAGCTGAAGGACCTGTGGGCTTAGTTAAGTCAGAATACAGTTTTAGAGGAAAGGAAAGGTTTATCAGGCTATCTGCTTTTCCAGAGTTCTCTCTTCTTCCCTGTCTGGTTACCTAAGTCTTACCCCACCCTTCCACAGTCCTGCGCCAGTTCTGCCTCTTCCTCACTTTTACAAGATCCATGTCCTGTTCACAAGCTCCCTGCTCAAAGGACCGCCATAGAAAATGGCTGCAGCAACATATGGAATTTTTTTACTAAAGCAAATTCTTGTATTATATCAATGGGGCTTAGATGAGAGACATAAAGTGAAGCCAGAGATCAAAAGCCTAGAATGCCTGGTTAAGGAGTTTATCATACAGGAATCCATTCAATAAATACATCAGTTCGGCTAGGCGCGGTGGCTCACGCCTGTAATCCCAGCACTTTGGGAGGCCGAGGCGGGCGGATCACGAGGTCAGGAGACCATCCTGCCTAACACGGTGAAACCCCATCTCTACTAAAAATACAAAAAATTAGCTGGGCGTGGTGGCGGGCACCTGTAGTCCCAACTCGGGAGGCTGAGGCAGGAGAATGGCGTGAACCCGGGAGGCGGAGCTTGCAGTGAGCCGAGATTGTGCCACTGCACTCCAGCCTGGGCGACAGAGCGAGACTCCATCTCAAAATAAATAAATAAATAAAATAAAATAAATAAACACATCAATTCAACACATGTCTACTGAGCACCTACTACGTGCCATAAATTGTGTCAGATATTGGGGTTCCATCAGCAAAAGAAACAGACTAAATTCTCTGCCCTCAGACATTATAGTGAATGGGTCACCAACTAAGATTTCTTAATGGGTATGGCACGCAGTAATTATTGTTTCTAGTAACTTGAACTGCAGGCAAACCTACGAGTTATTTCCTTCCATGTTCATCTTTTCTACTTTAATCCCTTTAGTAAGAACAGGACCGTCTAGTGCACTTCCTGGTGGTGGGGTGGGAGGACGTGGTTAGAAAAAGTGAATGTCCTTTTAGCTTCCTGCCCCCAAACACACTTTTATCAAAACAAATGTAAAAACAAATTCAGAACTCAGAATCTCAATATTAGCTTAACTTGCACAATTTTCTTCTTATGGCATTGGCCTTAAACTGACTAAGGAATTACATGAAATGCAATGTAATAAAATACTAAAGTTAGAACAGTAATATTTTATTTTGGCTAGCAGCAATGCATGGACTTCTATGAAAGGGGAAAATCATACTTACAATTAATAAAATATTAGATATTTTTTCATTTGCTTATTAAAGCTTGGCACAAATGAGAAGGTACTATTTTGTGGCTATCTACTGTACACACTTTTTTATAAGGCCATATAGAAAAGGCCACACAAAGGGAGGTTTCAAGTTGATTTAAGCCAAAAACAAATGACAGAAGCCTGCAATAAAAAGTACCTATTTCATGTTCTTGAGGTCTGATGCTACACAGCAGGAGTATTTTAAATCTTGGCAGGGTTAAGAGTAGGGAGTGGTATTACTGGAAATCACAGGGTGAGGATAACTAGGAGAGGGCAAAGGGGAAATCTATTCAAGGAGACACCGACATAAGTTAGATTTTGAAAGGGACCGCTACACCCATTTTCTACTAAATAGCCCTTCAAAGCCCACATTTCTCAGCTCAAATCAGACAACTGTGCATTAATGACCCATATGTGGAAAATCTATATGTAACCAAAGGTGTTTTCCTTCTTTAACCTTGGTTTGGGGATTCACCTGACATCATATGCAAATTTTTCCTCCTAATGACTCTATTCATCCAAAGGCAAGACACTATATTTAAAGTGGTCAAAAAACTCCGAATTCCCAGTTGTCCATTCAAGTTAAAACACAGGCTTTAGACACATGGAACCCAGGTCAAAATATTATCTCAGAATAATGTAGCTACATACATGGACTTAGACAAACAAGTGCCTTTTTATAGACAAACAAGTGCCTTTTTATATCTACACATACATAGTGTCTATGCCTCAAAAGCTAATTAGAACATTGTACTTAGTGAATAGAGCTTTAGTATACTCCAAGAAGTAGAAACAATCCAAATGCCCATCCATCGTCTGATAAATGGATAAATAAAATATACTTTATACACAGAATGAAATATTTGGCCATTAAAACAAATGAAGTACAAGTACATACTACTACATAGAAGAACGTTGAAAACATTATGCTAAGTAAGAAAAGCCAATCACAAGAGACCACATATCCTATGATTCTACTCACATGAAATGTCCCAGTAGGCAAATCTATAGAGACAAAGCGGATTAGTAGTGGCTGAGGACTAGGAGAGAAAGAGGGAGAGAGAGAGAGGTGACAGCTAAGGGGGTAAGGGAGAAAAGTTTTCCTTTTGGAGTAATAAAAATTTCAAAAAATTGATTGTGGCAATGGTTGTACAACTTTGTGAATACACCAAAAGTCATCAGATTGTACACTTTAAATGGGTGAATTATGTGGAATGTGATTTCATCTTAATAAAGCTGCCTAAAGCTAATTAGAAAGTCAGCCTTAAACTGGAACTATAATGAACAGATAAATGAAGAATGCCTCATCTGTACTTCTTTATATAAGGTAAATAATTTTAAAAATCTTAGGTGCAACTATGTCTTCATTATAATACTTACAATATTACTAAACTAGGAATCAAAAGTGGGAAATGAGTTTGAGATGCACATGTAATTGAGAAATTAAACATATTAGTCAATCTTCAAAAAGTAGCAACAAACGTTATTAAAATAAAAGACCTGGCCGGGCAAGGTGGCTCACGCCTGTGATCCCAGCACTTTGGGAGGACAAGGCGGGCAGATCACCTGAGGTTGGGAGTTCGAGACCAGCCTAATCAACATGGAGAAACCCTGTCTCTACTAAAAATACAAAATTAGCCAGGCGTGGTGGCGCATGCCTGTAATCCCAGCTACTCAGGAGGCTGAGGCAGGAGAATCACCTGAACCTGGGAGGCGGAAGTTGTGGTAAGCTGAGATCGTGCCATTGCACTCCAGCCTGGGCAACAAGAGTGAAACTCCACCTCAAAAAAAAAAAAAAATAAAAATAAAATAAAATACCTACTAAAAATAACTGAACTCAATAAGAGAAATACAAGTAAAGCATTTAAATTAAAAGTGCTAACTTTTGGAAAATTAAAACAATAGCTTTCGCACATTCTTAATTGTGGCATACAGCTATGTATATATATTTACACATATACACCAACAATTGGTACATTAGAAAAATTTCCCCTTTGAGGAACATCACACAACGGGGCCTGTTGTGGGGTGGCGGGAGTGGGGAGGGATAGCATTAGGAGATATACCTAATGTAAATGACGAGTTAATGGGTACAGCACACCAACATGACAAATCTATACATATGTAACAAACCTGCACGTTGTGCACATGTACCCTAGAACTTAAAGTATAATAAAAAAAAAAAAAAAAGAAAAAAAATTTCCCCTTTGAACTACTCTTGATTTAAAGATGCATTTATTCTTAGTTTTTCATACACTCTATTTGGCTGGAAAAGTTATTTAATATCTGACTCTTAGTTTCTTGATACATAAAATCTTGTGAGGACTAAATAAACATGTGAAAAAAAAGCATTTTGTATGCTGAATAGTAAAACGCTAGCCAAAATATTCTTCAGCTATTTTAAATAATCAAACAGTAGAAAGGCTGGCTAGATAACATACTGTACGCGGCTTTATTCTTTGTTTCCAAGAAGAGCTAAACAATAACAGCAACCTCACAAACTCTTTGAATAACTGACATTCCTAATGTTTATGTGTTTAATAAACAAATCATGTTACAGTCTAATCATTTTCCCAGTCCAACTGTCTTTTAAAATTTGCAATACTCACTTTTTCCTATTTCTTGTTTCATGACCCACTGAAATTTACTTCCTCCCCATTGTGACACTGAGAAAGCACTCTGAAGTCACTAATTAACCCATCCTGTGGGCAGTGTCCTCATTTTGTATCTCCTTCGCTGACAACCCAGCAGGATTCTGCATCTTGACTACTTCTCCTTTGTAAAACACTTTGTCCCTTAGCGTCTGTGTTCCCCATTGTGGGCTTTCCTCCTACTTCTGCCTGCCCTGTTTCCTATGCAGCCTCATCTTCCTATACAGAGTCATTAAACGTTAAAGTTCTCTAGGGTTTGGCATAAGGCTGCTCCTCCTCCCATGCTATGCTCTCTGTCTAGACAATGTCATCCAGGTAAACATTTCAGTAACCATATCTGGGATGTGTCTCCCAAGTTTACACAGCTAGCCCACAGTTTCACCTCCTACGGAACTCCTGAATTCATTACTCTTCACCAGGCTGCTATAGTCTCAGCCTAACTGTTCTTCCCATATCCACCCTGCCTCTCTCTGATTTGTTCTCCATACCTGAGTCAAAGTGACCTTTATAAAATCTCATTATGCCAGTCCCCTGCTTAAACCTGCAGGCACCTCTATTACTCTGAGAGGTTGTCTTCAATCCCTCAAGCTGGCCTGCAAGGCCCTACATGCGCTACGTCTTGCCTGCCTTCCCAGCCTCACCCTGCTCTCCCTGCCACAGTGGCCCTTCTTTCCATTCCTCAAACATGCTCACTTCTTCCCATTATGGTGTTCTCCTGCTATGCCACTCTCCTTCACTTCCTAGTAACCAGGACCTAGTCAGTGCTTAGTCATCATTACGACCTCAGCTCAGAAGTCTCATCAGGTTTTTTTTTTTTGAGACGGAGTCTCGCTCTTTCACCCAGGCTGGAGTGCAGTCGTGTGATCTCCTCGGCTCACTGCAAGCTCCGCCTCATGGGTTCACGCCATTCTCCTGCCTCAGCCCCCTGCCCCCCGCTCCCTGTGCAAAGGCTAATTTTTTGTATTTTTAGTAGAGACGGGGTTTCACCATGTTAGCCGGGATGGTCTCAATCTCCTGACCTCGTGATCTGCCCGCCTCGGCCTCCCAAAGTGCTGGGATTACAGGCGTGAGCCACCGCGCCCGGCCATCAGGATTTCTTTTCCACCTTCCATTCTGTGATGAGAGACCCTCTGTTACAAAGTCATAGCACTGTATACCTTTCCCCTTTTCATGATTATTGGATTGTCTCCCTCATTAGGCAGAAACTGTATTTTTCTTACTGTTAAATCTCCAGCATCTACTGTAATGTCTATCTAGTGAAAGCTGTTCCATGGGTATTTGCTAAATAAATGAATAAACTACCAGTTAAAGGGGAGAAACTTACACATGTGCAGTATGGATATTAGTGTCTTGATAGAATTTGGCTGTAGTACATGTACACTCATGTACCTCAGAATGATGCTTCTGTCAATAATGGACCACATATAAAACAATGGTGCCATAAAATTATAATGAAGCTGAAAAATTCTGATAGTCCGGTGATGATGTAGCCTTTGTAACACTGTAGAGCAAGGCATTACCTTTCCTTTGTTTAGATACACAAATGCTTACCATTGTGTTATAATTGCCTACAGTATTCAGCAGAATACTGAATACAGTTACAGTATAGTACAGCCAGTAGTACTGTAATATACTGTTAACTATATTCAGTATTCTACTGAATAATGTTGGGGACTGTAACAGTATAGAAACCTGTGCAGATTTGTAGCGTAGACGCCATAGGCTATACCATCTAGCTTAGGTGTGAAGTAGGCTACACCATCTATGTTTGTGTAAGTACACTCTATGATGTTTGCACAATGATGATATTGCCTAACGACACATTTCTCAGAACATATCCCAGTTGTTAAGTGACACATGACTGTATGTATGTATATGTAGACACAGACATATGCACATACACCGACACGTGAAAAACATCTCTCTTCATTTGTATAATACATGTAGATGGAGGCAGGGGCTGGAGAAGACACAAGTACACTGACATTCACTCATTCACCCACTTTCACTCACATTCACTCATTCAGATACGAGATACACATTTTTTTTTAAATCCCTGTCCGGGTTCCATAAACATTCATACATTCAAAATACTTACCAAGTATCTGCTGTATGCCACTGAGCTAAATGTTGGGGACAAATATTTAATGAGACCTACTGGTCATTTCTCCTCCAAAAAACATTCACAGTCTAGCAACAATGAGAAACAAGGAAATGAACAAATTGTGATATAGTGTGGTGTGATGGAACGCTGGGTATAGGCCTCTATTTCAGACTGGGCCAGGAGTTAGTAGCCAGGAAAGGCTCTCCAGGAGAGAAAACTTATGAGTTGAACTGCAAAGGTCAAGGAGGAGCTAGCCCTCAACCACAGTGAGGAAAGAGAATTAAGGTGAAATGTCATGAATAAAAGTAATACATGATGAGAACGCACGGGCCATTTGAATGAGTTAAGTGGTGTAGCATGTCTGGAGCTGTGGGACCTTCTCTCCTCAGATCACTGGTGTTCTGCATTCAGATTTTGGTGTAAAGGAAAGAGTGTGCGTAGGGGAGAAAAGCTTCTGGGCCCCAAAGGTATCCCAGGTTACACACTCAGGTGAACGGTGAAAAGGCTGGTGACCAGCCTGGTTAGGAAAAGTGTCACAGACATAAGGGGCTTGCAATTTTACTTAAAGTAGTTAGGAAAAGTCTCACTGTGAAGCTATTTGACTAGAGATTTAATCAGAGTAAGGGAGGGAGTCATGAGCAAGCTCGGGGTGGAAAATCAAAGGTGTTATTTAGAGCACATTAAGTTTGAAATGTGAATTAGACACTCAAGTGTATATAAAAGTCTGCAGTCTGGGACTCATGGCTGGAGTAGACACACATGCCAGGAAGTCATTGGTATAAAATTGGTATTTAAAGTGATAGCAAAATATGAATTGCCATGGGGAGAATACAGCCAAGGAAGAGAAGGTGTTGCAGGACAAACCCTGGGGCATGTGCACAGTGGAGGAGAGGCCAGCAATGAACAGAGAAGAGCTGTTCAGTAGGAAAGTGAAGGTCTGGAGTTACATGACCTGAGAAGAAAACAGAATTGCAGGAAAGAAAGAGCAGTCAGCTCTGTGCAGAAGGATCAAGTGAGATGAAGACAGAGAAATAACACTGATTCTAGTGACACAGAGGTCACTTGTAATCTCAAAAGCAGTTCCAGGGAAGTTGGGGGTGCGGGGAAAAAGCCAGCTTGGAGAGGCGTGAGGTAAATGGAGAAAGATTCTGTAGCCACTTGTTTAAGAAGTTAAGCTACAGAAAGAACGCCAAAATGGGGAAGTCGTTGGAATTAAGCCTAAAAGATAGCTCTAGTTTTCCTGGTCAAGTGCTAAAGATCAAATGAGGCCATGGAAGTGTTGTTTTCTTGGTGACTTTAAAACTGATTTAGTTCTTATCTGCCTGGGATGTTTTTGATAGTTTCCTTTCATGGTAGTAGGACTCCTTAGAAAGATTCTTCCTTTAATTTTTCAAGAAAACTCCCAAAGCCATCATGTCATAAAAATCATTCCATACAAGAAGATATTCTCTAGGGCTACTTTGATCACGTGCAGAAGAGGTCTAGCCCTTTACAGAGCGGCTGCCTCTTTCTCCAGAGGAATGTTCCATAAAAATAAACCCACCAGGAAGCTGGAGTCCAGGGGAATCCCATGATTCTGATTCACTCCACTGAGGGAGGCTGCCCAAGATCAAATTCACCTTAATGTACCATGATTGGGAGTGAGTATTCTCCATGAAAAAATTTAAGCAGAGGTGACAGGGCCAAGTGAGGACATGCTAGTGCGCTTTAGGACTTTTGGAAAGACTTGCAAAGCTGGGCCACTGACTACAGCCTTTGCACGGAATTGTCTAAAGCACCATTCAAAGGTCCCGCCTACCAAACGTCACAGCTGAGTCAGAATTTCCACTGTGATGATTATGTGGTTACGGACGCAGCCTCGGTCTGCGAGACATTAGCATGAAACATATTCATTAATCACCTACCCATGACGAGGCCTAAATATAGATGGATTGGGCATGATTTGATTTATAGGGTGTTAAGCGATTCAAACATTTATTCAAAAACATCCCTTTCACTGGTCCCCACAAAAATCGCCACCATGAGAAGCCTTCCCTTGAATTAAAGATGGTAACTCCAGAAATTTCATTAGAAATGCATATGTATTCGTTGAAAAAGAAAACATTGTCAAGAATAATTTAATGCTTTAGTAGAAATGTATTTCTAAGATTGGTTTAGGAGGTAGGGGATTTCAAAAACAATAGGTAGGAAAGTTGTGTTAACATGGAAGAAAAAGGCACATACTGCAAGCTCTGGCATCGAGGTGGACTGTGTGGCAGGGGTCCTAGGCAGGCAGCCCAGGCATGGAGGTACCGGGCCTCTGAAGGGGAAGGGAACTCATCTTCGGGAGGAGAGCAGCGACTAACTTCTAAAAAGTATTAGGAAGGTAACATATACACACAAAGACATTTGAAAAACATTTTTAAAACAGCAGAAAAAACAAATCGGTCATGACACCATGACCAGAACACAGTCACCATCTAAGACTTGCATACTTTCTCTTTCAGGGTCTGGGCCTCGGTATCGCGCTCCTTGCCCCTCCATCATTTTATGGGGGTTGCCTTACTTATATTTGATAAAGAATTTTTTTGTATTTTGATTCTTTCTATTAACATATCATGCACACATTCTCCTGTTATTTCACAAACTCCACAAGCATGTTTAACAGCCATATAAAATTTCATCAGGTAGGCATGCCATAGCTCACTTAATTCTCCTGTAGTTGGATAGTGAAATCCTTTCTACCTTATTCTCATGGGGAGTCAGGCTTGAGCCACATCTGTGTCCATACAAACTTATTCTAGGTTGAGGGTCATTTCTTTAGGAAATGACCTAAAGATACAAGATACAAAGATAAAAGATACAAGAAATGAAATTATAGGTAAAAAGGAAAAACCTTTGTAGAATTCTTGATATTAGTGGTCAAACTGTTTTTGGTACAAAATGGGTTGTACCACAATGGGAGAGATGAAGGGGAGAGATTTTGGAAATAAAACCATTTTCTGTACCACTCTGCAGAGGTGGCTGGCTCCATGCAAGCTAGAACGGTGCCTGTCACTGTCATGTAGGGACTACGGTCATCACATTGGAAGTGCAAAACTCTGGAATGGAAAACAGTAAGAGGACCATCCATCCACTGAAGTAATTTACTCAAACACAAGACCATAACTGGTGATATATGAGAGTTGATATAGAAATTGGGGATTAATCACAGCATAAAACTAGGTTTGAGGCCTGTGCATGAAAGTAGCTCTTTTTTTTTTTTTTGAAAGGCCCTAATGTGTCACGTTTAATTGGAATGTAAATTATGCTACTGTCAGCACTAGCAAAGCTGTCTGAACTTGGGGGAAGTGTACAGCAAACTTACATCAAACACTCAGAGTTTTGTAATATACATTTATATAATTATGAGCACACAAAATTTTAAATGCTCAGACTTTCCAATCAACAATATCAAGTAATCATTTGGACATACGATTGCAATTCAAGTCATTTGTGAAGAACATATAGAGCCTATATTTTGGGGCACTCCCATTGAATAGTACTTCAAGAAGCATACAGGTATCATTAGTGCAAGACAATGGTTAAAAGTCAGCAAAGGCAGAGCAAAGTTGTTAGCTAGAACGCCTCACTCCTCCCAAAATTATAGCAACACATCTTATCCACTGCTCTAATCAGGAAAATAGTACTCCTATAGGAATGCTTAAATACTAAATATGTCCTCTGAAGTCAAAATGCATATTTTGTGGCAATTTTTACTAGAATTGAGGATTCTCTCACACATACACATCTTGAAGGCCACAGGCCTGAGCCTCTTTATGAATCAAGGAAATCAGTAAGAGGAAGAGGTATTACAGCAATGCTGGTCTTAGGACTAGTCCCCTTCCAGCAGTGCAACAGCTGGCTACAAAGAGGCCAGTGATTAAGATACACAAGGCCTATTAGTAAAAAGCAACCTGTCCCCACATTGCTCCACCAGGACAGCTGCAAGTCTTCCACGGTTTCTCTGACCTCTGAGCCCATGTTCCCGTTTCAGCCCTCGCTGGTTAGTCACATTAACTGTAATTTTCTACTCTGGAAAGTGTTTACATCTAAATGAACCATGAGGGAATAAAGGAGAAATGACAGAAAGGCATAAAGAGAAGAGAGGGAAAAAAAAAAAGGATGGAAAGTTATTTTTAAAACACACAACCTAATCTGGTGGATGAATTCTGGTATCTAGTCTTGGCTCCAGAATCACTGGCAAAGCATGGAGCTGGCAGCCACTGCTAATCAGTTTGCCACTGTCTTCAGATTTAATGCAATATTTGGCTCAGACATTTAAAAAAATCCTATTCCAGCTAAAATATTTACACAGTCCTATGTGTCTCACTTAATGCCTGTTAAGCAATCGTCTTTTAAAACTCCACAGACACTTGTAAATCTGTCGGGAGAATTGTGGCCTATAAACAAGGTTTCAT
Organism: Homo sapiens; assembly: GCF_000001405.40. Lineage (NCBI taxonomy): Eukaryota > Metazoa > Chordata > Mammalia > Primates > Hominidae > Homo > Homo sapiens. Next base: position 5,087,726 of record NT_187660.1, read on the forward strand.
ATAAAGAAGGCTGCATTGTCAATTTTGGGGGAGTAGGGATTTCTTAGGATGTGTTTGAAAATAGAGTTGAATATCAGAAACAGTTTAGAGTGGGTAACAAAGTGGCCAATAGTCTCGCTTGCTGGACGCCGTTAGTGGTATTAACGGGAAGCCTCCAGACACTGATCTCAGCTATTTAAAACTGTGCTCTCCTGTAAATCTGTCATTGATCCTACCTCTCTCTTGAGTTATGGCGCAGGGACAGTTTCTGGTCCAGCAGCCCCTGGTAGTCTGCATCCTAGGGCCTGTCAGGCTAGAGATGATGAGCTGCTGGAGCCTTTAACAGGAGGCTATTACGTGGTTATACGTAAAGTGAGTGTGTGTAAGCATCTGAGGAAGGATGGGGGACTGCTAGAGGAGAGGGGGAGTTCTGGGCAGGGCTGATGTTGAGAAGAACAAGACGGCTGAAATGACAAATAAATAGTATCCACTGAGAGGCTAGGTGTCACAGATTCTGAAATGCCTATTAAACTCTCTAACATCTTCAGCCCTGATGTTAATAAGACTAGGTGATAAAACTTAAAGTCATGGAGGCCCCTCCAAGCTATCTCCTGTTGGCCTGGGGAGCGCAAGGAATTTGTCTCTGTCTTTGGGATGAGTCAGGTATATGTAATATGACTCAGCAAAACCGCTCCATCATTCAATTATTCCTAGATTAGCCGCCTTTTTATTTTTACTCCATTTCATTAATGAATATGCCATTGGTTATGATTCACAATTTTATTTTAGTTGTTTTTTTTTTTTTTTTTTTGATACAGAGTCTTGCACTGTCAGTCACCAGGCTGCAGTGCAATGGCGCGATCTCGGCTCACTGTGACCTCTGCCTCCTGGGTTCAAGCGATTCTCCTGCCTTAGCCTCCTGAGTAGCTTGGATTACAGGTGCCTGCCACCATGCCCAGCTAATTTTTTGTACTTTTAGTAGAGACGGGATTTCGCTATGTTGGTCAGGCTGGTCTCAAACTCCTGACCTCGTGATCTGCCTGCCTCGGCCTCCCAAAGTGCTGGGATTACAGGTGTGAGCCACCAAGCCCGGCCTATATTAGCTATATATAGCGAATATCAAGCCCAGCTTAAACACTCAACTTTGGGATTTGGTGGAGTTAGGAAAAGGTATGTCATGGATTGAAAAAAAAATTAGATGTTTGTAATTCCAAGGTATATAATGCCTTGAAACCAAGGTGGCAAGTATTAGTTGATTCTCTTCAGGATCACAGTCAGGAAGGGCTTTGCAGATGTTTTTATGAATCTTCAGAACAGCTGGAGGGAAAATTCTATATACCTTCCCTCTGTTTACCCTCTAACAGACTGACAAGTATTATCTCTGTTCTCAGGTACAGTCAGATTCCTGTTCCTGAGCAGAAGAGAAATCAGAAGTAGGAATAAATCTCTCCCCTAGAAAATGGGGATAAAACTTAGCCTTAAAATGTGTTTATAAAGGACTTGATCTTTCAGTGAGTTTATTTAAAATTCGCAGTGAACTCAGTGCTAAGAATAAATATTTGCTGAACAAATTAACTGATTGAAAAGGTCAAACAAGAGCTGTCTCGTATTCTGTAGATTTTTTTTCTTTGATACCTGGAGATTTGATGACACTTTTTAAAGACCATCAAAATGGTCCAGAAAAGGTTTAAAAACACAACCAAATTAGCACTGTTAGTACATTAGCCATTATAAATGTTCCTTGGGCATTTCCCCTTTCTGTTTACTATGGCAGAGGAAAAGTTTCTGGTCCAGCGGGTCCTGGTCCTCCATGCTGACTTGGACATATTGCCATTTATCTCTCACTCAGTAATTCCTTGAAAACAACAACAAATTTTCAAACTGTATAATCAAAAGCAAATGGCCCTTAAATGGCCAAGGGTGTCTTAGCCCTCAGCCTGCTTTATGTGTTATCTCATCTTACCCTATGAAAGTTTTCCTGCTATTGTCCCCTTTTTGGTGAGTATTAGTAAAGTCACACAGACAGTAAGTAGCTGAGTCAGGATCTGAATCCAGGGGTAACAGACCCCCTGCCCTTATGATATGCCGCCTCCTACTTTCACCATCTACAGGAAAGTTCTAGAAAAAACTATGGGACACCTATGTGAATGCTTTGTCAACTGTAAGGAATTAATAAAAGCTAAAAAAATCACCAAGTGCCACCACTGGGATCCTGTCATTTCAAATGGGGAAAAGGCCTACCAGGTGGTTAGGTTAGTAAGTGGCATGGCAGAGACTGGAACCAGGGCTGTCAATTTCCTGGTAGGTCTGTGATCTTTCCAGGAGTATTAAAAGGTAGAGTCACAGTTCATGGCCCCTATCCACCTAGGAGCCACGCTGAGGTTGAGCTATCTGGGAAAGAATCTAGGAGAGATAAGGATATTGGCAAAAACTCCAGTCCCCTTTGCAGGGGCTAAGGAGGTCTCCCTCTAACTTCACTCATTTGGTTGACTGACATGAGAAGAATCACTCTGTGGATTGTGAATCTTCCACAGAGTCAAAGATATACAACTTACTTAGGCAGAAAAAGTATTTTGATATTCACAAAACTATCCACTACTCTATTTCTGTGAAGAAAATATTTTGACCCAATACAAGCTCATGGTATGGTATCTTGGGCGCTGGCTTGGCAGTCAAGGACCTGAGTTCTGTGCCTGGCTGGGTGATCCCGGCCATGGTGCTTCCTATCTCGAAGACTCTGTTTTCCAAGCTGCATATGCCTGCCCTACTCACTTGGGAGGATGAAGCACCATAGGCAGGTAAAGTATCACCATTATAATTACAAGAGTACCTTTAAAAAACCAAAAAAACAGGAAATATCAAGGATACTTTGTTAATGAACTTGCCAAATTAATGCTATTTTCCAGTCCTCATACTTGATTCAGTCTTCCAGCTATTGAGCAGAATCCTGATCAAAAGCACTTGTGTTGTTTCTAAACCTGTTTATTCCTGTTGTTCTTTTTATTGAAATTATGTAATTTAATGACTTGATGGTAAACCAGATATATGACTGTCAAAAGGTACTATTTCTATAAGTTTTAATGAAAGAAGCTAAAATATTGCTGTTAAATGTAGGTATAGAAGGCCAGGGGAAACTGGGGAAACATGGCAACTAAATGCAATGTGGTAGTCAGGATTAGGTCCTGGAACAGAAAGGGGACAAAAATGGAAAAACCAGTGAAATCCATATAAAAACTAGCATTCAGTCAATCTAAATGTATCATTGCCAGTTTCTCAGTTTTAACAAATGGATCACAGCAGTGTGAGATGCCAAGAATGGGGAAAGTAACTGACAAGAGCTATATGAGAACTCTCTACTCTTTGCAACTTTTCTGCAATTTAAAAATTATTCCAAAATAAAAATTAAAGTGTATTGTTTAAAAAGTGTGGGAAACACAGTTTTAAAAGATTGAGAACAATTATAAATATCTAGAAAGATTCTATGGTGATATTTGCAAGAGTCTTTACTGAACTTTAAAAATACAGTAGGGAAATTACAGATGCTGTCATTATGGAGTATGTAGGGAAGACCTATAGGACTGCATTCGACAGATTCATAATTCAAGTAAAAGCTTCATCCCTGCATCAGAATACAGACAAAGGATACAACATTTAATTTGTTGTAAGTTAAAGTGTTAAGGGATACAAGTGTCATTTTCCATGATTCCCAATTTTGGCCAATTTTTTTTCCATTAACCTACCACACTGGATAAGCGCTCTGCTCTATAAAGACAGATGGTATCAGCTGGGCATGGTGGCTCACGCCTGTAATCCCAGCACTTTGGGATGCCAAGGCAGGTGGATCACCTGAAGTCAGGAGTCTGAAACCAGCTTGGCCAATATGATGAAAACCAGTATCTACTAAAAATACAAAAAATTAGCTGGGCATGCTGGCGGGTGCCTGTAGTCCCAGCTACTTTGCAGGCTGAGGCAGGAGAATCGCTTGAACCCGGGAGGCGGAAGTTGCAGTGAGCCGAGATTGCGCCACTGCACTCCAGCCTGGGTGGCAGAACAATATGCTGTCTCAGGAAAAAAAAAAAAAAAAGGATAGATGGTATCAACACAAGAATTTTTGAGGCATGAATTAATTCAAGAGATTGTTCAGAGTCATTTACAAAGAGAATACCTGAGATGCAAGCCTGATATAATTTGAAAGTTGACTTTTTAAAAAAAAGTCTTGCAAATGGTCAGAATTCCTAGGATTTTTCAGTTGTTCTAATTAAGTCAGTCTAGGGAGGAATTCAATACAGTAACCCTTCATGAACAAGGAGAATTATAGAATGCACTGAAATAGCATAGTAAGAATAATCATCTCAGAAATTCAGGAGTTGGAATATACCTTCAAAATCATCTAGCAAACTACTTGTCTAATGGTACCTCCTCTACCCACCCACATAATACAATCTTCCAGCAAGCAGTGGGTGAGGAACCCACTACTGCTCAAGGCCATCAGTTTTCTCTTCAGACAGCTTTAAAATCTGTCCCTCTAAAAGATTCTACTCACGGATGCTTATCTGACATCTTTGGCCATAAGGAAGTGATCTAATTTCTCACTAATAGCAGAGTCAGCGATTATCTGAAGTTGAGTCATTTCTTCCATTGTTCATTTGCTCATTCATTCACCCATTTACCAAATATTGACAACAAATACGTGGAAAGTGCTGACCAGCACAGTAAATATAAACATAAAAAAGGTCATATATCTGCCTTCATGAAGCTGGTGGAGGAAGAGAAAATTTACAAACAAATAAATAGAAAATAATATGAAATATGAATATGTGAAAGTAATATGAAAAACGAAGGCTGTAATAGACAGTGCCTATTCAAAGTGCCTCCTGAAGAGTGGGTGGGCAAGGAAGGCTCAGAGCATGGGCCTATCTGGCAGAAGGGCTTTCTAGGAGAGGGACCCACTACTGCAATGATCCTAGAGCAGGAACAAGTACATCGTGTTGGAACACAAAGAAGGCCCGTGTGGCTGGAGTTTAGTGGGCAGGAGGGGTGAGTGGTGTGAGAGAAGACTGGAAAGGCAGAAGTGGTTAAATCAGTTTGTACGGCATGAGTATGAGGTTGGATTTGATTCCAAGAGGAATGAAGATGAAATAACAGAGTGCTGTGACCTATGCGGCAGGTGGAGACAAAGGAAGACCAAGAGTGGAAGCAGAGAAACCTGCTTGATATGGGCCAGGTGAGAAGGTGGTAGCTTGGATTACAAAAGCAGTAGGTGTGGAGATGGAGAGCAATGAATTGATTCCAGACACTTTTTGAAGTTAAGAGTCAACAGGACTAGCTGTCAGACATGAGAGCACAAAAGGAATCAAGGAAAAGTATGACACATTTGGCATATGCTATGAAAAGGGATTTCCTTTGTGGGATCCCAGTAAATCCTCTTAAACAATCAGTGGAGCAGGTAGCCTTACACTCATTTTTATATGAGGATACTGAAATGTCAGGGATGAAATGATTTGCCAAGGGTTACAAAGCTTGTGAAGCAAGGATTTGAATTCAGGACTTCTGACCCAGACTTTTCTATGATTGCAGCTTTTATTTCAATATTTTATGTTTCTTGTCAAAGAAAAAAACTCAACAAAACACATTCTATTAACCACGTGTTTTTATAAAATAGAGGGTAGAAATAGAGGGTGCAAACTGAGAGGAGGAAACCAGGACAACATAACTCATCCTTCCCACCTAGAAATGTCACAATCACAGCTTCAAAGGAAAACACAAACTTCTTCCATTAATTAAACGGATGAATCAAGTTTCAGTTTCCTCTCTCCTTTCTGTACAACTTGTCTTTGAAGGCATTTCATTTGGGAAATGTGTGACCTTTAGTCACCATGCTCAATTAATTGAATGCTTTGCATCAAAAGTCACCATGCCGATCCACATTTTACACCCACTGCTTTTCTGAAATACTTATCCCAGTTCCTTAGGTCTGTTTTGTTGAAATCATTTTACAAAAATAAATCATATCAAAGTTTTTTTTATTATTTCTAAAACTTTGCTTGCAAAACTAAATATTTTTAACACCATGGCAACATGGTCAGGACTCTGGCTAATGTATCCAGTCTCGTACCAGAGCTCAGACTTAGTAAACTACTGCTGTGGACAAATGGGCTGTGAAGGAGGAAAGAGCTAATAAATTAGACATGGTCAATAATCATTCAAGTCATGTCTTCTGGAGCTTCCCAAAAGGTGATAAATTAGCCAGACCTGTCCTAATGATCAATACCCTGCTCTCCCTTCTAGAACACACCAGCATCCATTGAGTAAAGTGCAGACTGCAAGGCCTCTCAGGAATTTAAGTACTACCTCACACCTCCTGAGGTACTTCCTCAGGCATCGCCTCATCTGACCCTTTCAATATCCCTTTGTGTTGGGCAGAATCCAGAAGTATGATCGGCTCCATTTTTTTTTTCAGTTGAGAGTCACAGAGGCTAAGTGATGTGGCAAAGTGCATGGTTTATCATGTGATAAGAGGCAGAATTAACTTTAAACTTACATCTCCTAAATCTCAGTTCAGTACTATTTTCAACACACCAGCCTCTGTCATTGAAACTTAACAAATTCACAAATGCTTTGTTTCATTGTGGGATTTTTTGTTTTTATGTATTTGTCAAAGTTATACGTGCACGCAGTTTAAAGAATCAGTACATTCTATGCACTTTAAGAACAGCAGTCCCCCATCTCCACCCCACCATTTCCTCAATTCTTCCTCCTCAGAGGCTACCTCTTTTACCAATTTTATGTGATTATTTGGTGCTTAGTAGTATGTCTCTAACAAGCTTCTATTGTTTTTTTTTTATTTTTCTCTTTATCAACTATAAATGATGTAGTTCTTTCCTTCACTCCCGCCTCTTCACTTCCATCACCCCAATATAGCACACGGTACCATGACTTGGTTAGACTAGCGTTTGGTGTTGACATTATTATGACTTTGCAAAAACAACTCGCAGTCCCAGCTGATATATGGAAACTCTGATTATTCCACATTTCCCGCACATTTCCTCTTTCTCTCACACTTGCTCTCAGAATTTTTTTTTCTGATTTAGTTTGTTTTCTATGAGCTTAACGTTAAATGAACCTCACACTTGTTACTAGTTGTATAAAATCTCTTGTCCAAACGTTCAGATATATTAGATGTATTAATTGTGTATTCCTTAAGAACCTTCTCCATGATGCTTTTGACTTAATCAAATCTGAAATGTTTTCTTTCAATGTCTGGCTGCCATCCTGGGCTTTTTCTCTGTGCTGGAGGCTCCATTCACCTTCCTTCTCCACTGAATTTTTATTTCCTGTGACCTATGTCTTCCTCTTTAATGGGACAGCACTTTCTTTAGTAGCATCCTGAAGATAACTGTATGGGAGATAAGTATTTTGAGAAATTGCATGTCTCAAAATGTTTTTAATCTGTCCTCATATTTGACTAATAGTTTGGTGGATATAAGGTTCTGGACTGGGAATAATTTTTCTTCAGAATCCTGATGCATTTGTAGCTTTTAGTAATGCTACTGAAAAGTCTGAAGTCATTCTGTTTCCTGACTGTGTGTGTAATCCATCCCCACATCCCACCTACTCCTAGAAGGGGGTGAGCTTTTCTTTTTGTCCTAAGTATTCTGAAATGTTCTAGTAATAGTATAAATCTGTTTTACTTCCCCCATATTAGTCAAATATCACATGGTAAGTGGCAGAATTAACTTTAAACTTTTGTCTCCTAAATCCTAGTTCAGTGCTATTGTCAACACCCCAGCCTATGCCATTGAAACTTAACTGCCATTCACAAAGCTTCATTTCATTGTGGGGTTTTTTGTTTTTGCATATTTTTTGTATATTTTGTATATTAATCAAATACGGGGGAGTAAAACAGATTTATACTATTATTAAAACATTAAAACTTTTTAGGCCTTTTAAAATTAGGAACTCATCCAACATTTTTAGACATTTTAAATGACTGTATTAATTTATGTACAAATATGTATGACTTTCTGCATGTTTGTATAAATATGCACAAACTTGTGGTACATGTAAGTCTTATAGTAAAAGTTGGATTGCTTCTCACCTCCTATCACTCCTGGATTAGAATTCAGCTTTCTTGTTTGATTAATTCATTTATCATGTATACATCTGTTTTTGAGTTTCCAAAATTTTGTGGTTCTCTCTATGCTTTAAAATTGATGCTTTTAAAGAATTCTACTATCGTTCTAGAAATTTTCAAAAGGAACTGAAATTCCATGAGTGTTCAGTCCTTGATGAGTGTTCAATCAATGACGTTTCCACCAAAGTCCTCCAAAAGGTTTCCAAAGTGACTTTTCCCCCTTACTAGAACCATATTGTTGTTTATGGGCCATGTTTTAATTAGTAATTAAAGAAAATTTTCACCCTCATGACAAGATCTAATTTTTGTCTTTTTTCCTCTTACAAGAAGCATTTAAACTCTCATGGAGGGAAAGCCACTTGAAGACACCAGGTGGCAGAGGTCATTCGTTTTGCAGGGTCAGGGCTGGTCTTGAGCACAGGAAGCATAGCTCACCCTCTTATGTGACTTGACAAGTTCTGGAAAATTCCCTTACCTTCTCATCTACATCAGGAGCCCAATACATCTAACTTCCACACATGGAAGAGATAACAAAACCTTGCAGGTTGCCCAGGGATGGCCCTTTAGTCCTCTGCTATTAGTTCAGTTAGCCACATCAGACTAGTATGCTTTCTTTTGGGTCACGAAGGAATAAAACAGAGGCTAGGTCAATGTCAGAGAGACAGAGAGGGAGTCAGAGAAACTGAAAAATATTGACAGGCAGGAGGTGGAAGGAGAGAGACTACAATAGGCAGACTGGTTGAGTGGTTGTATGTAGAGACAAGAGAAAGCCTGAATTCAATCCAATTTTTATCTGTAGTCCCTTTAGAAGATGAGCCACAGAACGAAGTGGGGCTTATTCTTCAAACTTTATCATTCTGGATCACATTTTTTGTGCTTTTAGGGTGAGCCTGCAAACTGTAAAGGAACAAAGTACGGCACAGATAAACCTGTTTCAAATTTCAGCTTTGCCAGTAGTAGCAAAGTAACTTCCACTTCCTTACTGTAACAACACAGGTAATAACACTTACTTTGAAGGAGTTTTAAGAAATAGAAATGATGTAAGCAAATTTGCTGGTATTAAGTGCTCATTAAATGGTAAGTGTTGTCATTAGTGATGGTGGAAATGGACACACGCCACACCCTTAACCACATTTATAGACCCTTTGTCCACTGTCTACACTGGTAGGGAGGAGAATTTTATTGCTGCCATTGTTTAGAATTGCTAGTGCATAATGATAATAAAAAACGAACTGACTTCTAGTTGACTTTATTATTGCTTTTAGATTCTCTACAGACATGCCAGATAAAAAACAGTACACCAAGTTAAATTAGAATTTCAGATAAGAAAAAATTTTTTAGTGTAAGTGTGTACCATGCAATATTTGAGATACACTTACATTTAAAAAAAAACCCTGAAAGAAAAGTATTGGGCCTCCTGAATTTTATTTAATAAATTTGACAACCCTAAGAGTAAGGAAGAACCATTTTGCTTCCTAAGATAATATCAACAGGAAACACTTTCTTAAATTCTCTTTGGGGCCCAATAGCACTGACTGACTCAGGCAAGGGCCACACTTTCATCGGAGTGGACAGATACATTGATTCCTGACAGAACAAGAGCCAGCATGGCTGTAAGAAGCCAGAATCAAAGAGGATGGTGACGAGGCAAACTTGCATTAAAAGCTGCTGAAGAGCAGGGACAGAGGAACCGTTTCCCCTCCCACAGTAACACAAAGTTGAATATCCATTAGATTAGCAACCAGTTCTTAGCATTCCTCCCTCCTACTCATAGTCAACTCTTGATCAACTGCAGTAATAGGAAGAGAAAAGGACATCACACATAACCCCAAATGAAAATGAAAACAAAACTGATCAAGGGTAAGATCAGGTCCAGTGGTGGCTCATGCCTGTAATCCTGGCACTATGGGAGGCCAAGGCCGGAGGATCGCTTGAGCCCAGGAAATTTGAGACTAGCCTAGGCAACACAGTGAGACCCTGTCTGTACAAAAAATACAATTTACAAAATTAGCTGGGCGTGGTGGTATACATCTGTAGTCCCAGCTGCTTAGGAGGCTGAGGTAGGAGGATTGCTGGAGCTCAGAATATTGAGGTTTCAGTGAGCCATGATTGTGCTGTTACTCTCAAGCCTGGGCAATAGAGCAAGAACCTATCTCAAAAAAAAAAAAAAAAAAAAAAAAAAAAAAAAAGAATGAGATCAAGCGGTAAGTAATGACATGTGGCCTTGTTTCTGCTAAGTCAGACCTGCCCTCCCCTACGTTACTAGAGATCCTGACTCCTGCAGGCAGGACCCAGTAATATCATTTCACCAACAACCGTGTTGCTAGTACAATCAATATCCTTTCTTCTTAAAGTACCTTTTACACAACTTATGCTCTGTAAAAATATTACTAAGTAGACAATGAAAGGGAAAAGAAAGCAAGCCAATGTTTCATGCTTTAAGTTAGGAAATGCTGTTTTAAACAGCATTAAACTTTTTTTTAACTACAGAACTTCCCAGAGGCTTTAATAAGCTCATGTGCTTTGAATCCCTAGGATATGATTTTCGTACAGAGCATGTCCAGGTTTATTTGATCATAGACTCTTTCAGAGAACAACAGTTCCAGTTCACATTTCAGGTAATATTTTTAGGTGCTACTATTTGACGAATCCTACATCTATAGTTTCAGCAATGCTGCACGCGCATGTGTGTGTTTGTGTATGTGTGTGTGTCTGTCTCTGGTATTAACTGGTGCAATCAGAAAGAAGAGTCCACTCCTTGGTGTATTAGTTTCTGATTGCTACTATAATAAATTAGCACAAACTTAGGAGGCTTAAAACACCAGAAATATATCACCTTTTAGTTCTATATGTTAGAAGTCTGACATGGGACTCACAGGCTAAACTCAAGGTGCTGACAGGGCTGTACTCCCTTTTAGAGGCTCTAGGGAGAATCTGTTCCTTGCCTTTTCCACTTCTAGAGGCTTCCCACATTCCTTGGCTCACGGCCCACTTCCTCCATCTTCAAAGCCAGCGACATTACATCTCTCTGATCATTCTTACGTCGTTATATCTCCCTCTGATCATAGCCAGGGAAAGTCCTCAGCGTTTAAAGACTGACTTTAAAGATTCATGTGATTAGATTAGGCCCACTTGGACGGTCCAGGATAATCTCCCCATGTCAACATCAGCAAAGTCCCTTTTTGCCATGTAAGGCAACATGTTCACAGATTCTAGGGATTAGGGTTTGGACATCCTTGGGGGGCATTATTCTGCCTACCACATATGGGTGGGTAAGAACACCCTGAGAGTTCCAGCCAGCAAGGACAAAGAGGGAGAATGAAAGTAACTATTGCCATTGTTTGTGTTTTCTCAATTATTGCTTACAACTTCACAGTATCAGGGAAATTGAAATTATTGTCTTGTTAAGGGATGTAGAACAATAAACAAAATATGGAACATGTTCCCAAGCACCAAGAACTTGGTTCTCTCTTTACAATGTAGAGAAGCAAGCACAAGTGCTCTGTGAATTAGATACTCCACAAACATAGCCAGCTGGCCTCTCAGCAACACCGGCTGATTATACAGGCTGTGCACTTTCCAGTGAAAGGTACATGCCCTTAATCAGCTTTATTGAAGCTGCCCTCACTAAGAAACTGTGCAGACATTATTTCCTATGATGCAGGTCCTATAACTGTCCCATTTTACAGGTGAGAAAGTGAATACTTTCTACGATTATGCTACTTGACAAGCTGTTACTTTCACTGAACCAGTAAAACATACACATCTGAACTCAAAGCCTGATCTTAGTCCTATGTAATGTGCCTATTTGTATGTCTATTTGACAATCCATCTACCTGGACTTCTTCCCCTTTCCAATTCCAACCCAAAGCAAGTTCCTTCCTGTGACTCTATCTGATCTGACAGTCTACATGTGTGGTTTTGGGAGTGTGTGCACACGTGTGCATGCTTGTGTATATATGTTCAGTAACTCTAATTTTTTTCTTCATGAGGCTTCACATTTTGAATGCCAAAACTTTCTGTCTGATCTCCAATCAGATGTGGTGACTTCTGGGTCACAGGCGTGATATGTATTGAACACATGCCTTAGAAGTCGTATCTAGTTTCAAAACTTGACTAGATCATCACCTCTGAAACACTGGCAAATTACTTGAGCACCACAAACTTCAGCTTTCTTATCTTGTGAGAAGTCAAAAATAGTATCTGCCTCACAAGGTCACTGCAGAATTAAAAGAGGTGATATAGATAAAGCACTTGATAGATAATAATGACACAATAAGTTGCAGTTGATACTATTATCAATTCCATGCTACGTTTACCTGCATAAAAATGCCATTCAAAGTTCTTGCCTCTCTGAAAGATGCTTAATGACAACTTCTACTTAAATCAGTGACATTAGTATGACCAATAACCATAGGTTAATTCACATTAGGTTAAGGTGTGTTAATACTATTTTTTTTTTTTTTTAAAAGACTCTGCCTGCCTGGAGATCTAGGGCCTGATACTTCTTGAAATTTGCTAATCACATCTGGTTTAGCTTTAGACATTTTCTGGGATTTTGCCAGCAGCTACGACACTTTAATGGCTACAATAAACCTCAAAGCCTCATCAAATCTTTGCTGTATGTGTGAAAATTATGTCCTCTTCAATTAAACATTCAATCTCAGCTCACACCAAGGCCTTATGGAAAAGGAGGTGAAACCTGAATGGAAACGTTAAGATGAAACGGACCGCCACGATTCTGGCCATCTTGCCAGATGGTATTTAGAAGAAAAAGAAATTCATTAGAGAACCTACGGTGTGTATTTTCTTTAAATATTTACTGGGTACCTTTCATGTGTTGAAAACACTGGCATCTCTAAAGATTAGCAGGGCATTTTTGTTTAAATATTCCATGTGTGTGAGGTGGGGGGAGTCATTTCCTCATTTGCCTTTGTGGTACTTCATGTGTTTTGGTGAAGCCTGGTACAAAGAAGAAAAGTAACTGAGACAATGTTCAGTTTTCTTTCCTAAGGCCGCTCTACCTGCTTCAAAAGCTCTTGTATTTTCCTAAAATCGGCTGAGGAAAGTGTCAGTTGAGTACTGAGAGATCCGGAACGACAATTCAGAGCCTCCCTAGACAAAAGAAGGTGTACCAAAGTGAGGCGCTATGGGGGAACCCTTGTCTCTCTGCTCGCCTCCCAGTTCACTCCTCTTATCCTCTTGCTATTTATCATCAAACGTACAGGGACGTCAAAGTGAGGCAGCCCCTGGAAGGAGAAGGGAAAAGATCAAACAGGGATCAGGTTTCGGCTCAAAGACTATAGGAGAGGTCAGGCCAAGGGTTTCACAAGGGGCCAAGAGACAAGAGGGAATGGGCATTCAGGAACAGCCGTGGAGCAAACAAGCTCCCCTGCCATTGCTAACTCTTGCTGCCACACTGAGGACCAGCCTGGGCCCTAATTCTACCAGTGGAGAGGGACAGACAAAAATGCTAGCTGGTAGCTTACTACGCTTTATTACAATATTAATCAAGCTCCTCAACTTCAACAAGGATACAACCGCCAATTCTTCAGGAGACAGAAAATAACGACCGCAAGTTCACATATCGCATTTCTAAAGGAAGCATCCATTTGTTTGAATTCATTCAACCACATCAATGGGAGAAAAAAAACCCACGTTCCTTTAAAAATAATATACAAGATAAAAATATTCACCTGTAACCATTATCCTTTCCATGTAAGTTTTATGCCCAAAGTAAAAATAAATGGCTCTCTTTGCCACCGGGAGCAGATCTTTCCCACTTTACTTCCATTTCCAAGCTGTTCTCAGCCTCAGACTTAGGTTTCTGAGTACTCTTTCACAATAAACATTTTAAAAATGTTTACTTTATGTCTTGGTCTTAAAATATTCCTGGTTGAAGCCCTTCATTTCCTCAAGCTCTGCTTCTGGCACTCTGGGCTCCATTTCCACATTAACACGCTCTCTAAATCCTCCGCAGAGCTCTTCAATTGGAGTTATACAAGCTCCAAGGCAAGTATTTATATTCTTGGACAAGGAGATGTCTCCACAGTAAAAACACGAGACTCTAGAAATGCCAAAGGAAAATTCCTGCCCAAGTGAGACATATTTTCACCTTTTAAAAAAGCCAAAAAGGGGCTTTCAGCATTTTCTTTTGACTAATTAAAAATGTAAATTAAACTAAAATGGAATGTTTACTGTGGGCCTTACCATCATTATTAGACTCATATATAAACCAAACATACAGGAACATGTGTGTATGTGTACGATATGTATGATATACATATATATTTAAAGCAGCAGAGTAAACTAGCTAATGTGTAAGTTCTAGAAACTAGAAACTAGAAAATGTGAGTTCTAATTAGACAGACTTGATTAGACTTGATTAGAGCTCAGTAAATCTGTCTATTACTGGCTGTGTGAACTTAACTTCTCTAAGCCTCATTTTTCTCATCTGTAAAATGGGTTTAGTGTAGTTCCAGCTTATTAAGATTGTTATATGAGACAACAGTAAGCATCTAGTAAATGGTTACTGCTATTATCATTAATAATGTTATAACTACTAAATGTTAGAAAATGTAGATATAACGAGATATGGATATAAGAAACAAATGATCAACACTAATAAAAGAGAAGAATTTGAAAATACAGTGCCTCTACACACTGTGTAGAGAAGGAAAGTTTCCTGAAAGCTGTAGTGTACCATTGCTGAACTCTGCACCAATCCCACTCTATGAACCAGACCTAAATAATCCTCTTAAAACATTTTTTAAAAGTAATCTTAGCTATTATCATAATAGCAGAACAGTTCCTATTACCTTCTAGTTGCCTCTTCAGTTTTCTCAAATCTTTTATGAGGTCTTCAAACTTGACTTGGGAGGCCAGAAAGAAATCCTGTGGTTCCGGCAAGGGGAAAACACTCTTTTCTGTTCCAGCTTCCTAAGAGATATGGTAAACAAAAGTACATTATACTTCCCAATTGTCACTTTCAGTTGAAATTCCAAAGCATCAATGAGAAAAAAAAAAGCTTTTTTATTGGATGTCTGAGTAAGAATCATAGCAATGCTCCTCTGCTATTCCTAAATTTGGACTTGTGACTTTGAAGTGCTTTCTTGTCTTTCACAATCTCTTTTTGGACTTATTGGCAATGAGGTCGGCTATGGCATGGGCCAGGTTCTATTTTGCCTCATGAATCAAAGAGAAAATTGTCAGGTCGTCCTGATCTTGGACACTCCACTCCCATGAAAAATGGAAGAGGGGAACACATGAAAGTACTTACATTTGAAGTCCCCATTTGATTTACACATGCTAGCAATTAGACAAGTCATCTTTGGGGCATACCAATGGGTGTGAATCAGAAGGTGCTGGATAAGAAGGCACTGCAATGGAAGATACAATCACCCTCCCATCACCTTTCCTCACCTTTCTCTGTGGCTTAAAGCTCTTCTGTGTGCATGCATGATCAGATTCTTTGTATATGGGTGTATCTACACATATACACAGGTTTTTTTTTTTTTTTTTTGGAGATAGGGCCTTGCTTTGTCACCCAGGCTTGAGTGCACTGACACAATCACGGTTCACTGCAGCCTTGACCTTCCAGGTCCAAGCGATCCTTCTAGTTCAGCCTATTAGCTGGGACCACAGGTACGTGCCACCATACCCAGCTAATTTTTAATTTTTTGTAGAGACGGGGGTCTCACCATGTTGCCTAGGCTGGTCTCTAACTCCTGGGCTCAAGCGATCCTCCAGCCTTGGCTTCCCCAAAATTCTTCATATATTTGAAAAGCTTTTGCAAATGTTGTCTGGCTTATCTTAGGAGACCGAGGGCAGGGTGAAGTATAGTTTTAACAAGCTCCACTGCTATAGCTAATGGAGAATTCTCAGCTGAGAAACATCTTGAAGGACAAAAGCTTCAGGCACATGAGCCTCAAATATCTTTTCCAGTCTAGCTAGCTTTCTCCCTGAGTTGTTTAACGTAAGCTTTGTATCTTGCATGTCTTAGGCCGTCTTCAATTATTCCTCTCTCTGCACAGGCTACTTTGCCAGCTTTCCTTCACATTCCATCTTCCCTACTGCCATTAGGACTAATTCCAAACTCTAAAACTGCTTTACAAGGCACTTTATGATCTGGCCTCTGTCTACATCTCTGGCCTCATTTTTACCTTCCCCCTATCTCCAACTCCCTCTAGACCTTCATGAAATAACAGACCACAATCTCTTGCTTCTAGGCCTTTGTCTATAAAATGGTCCCTTTCCGACCCTTCCCTAGTGCCTCCTTACACTTCCTTGTTCATACTCATCCTTTAAGTCTTAAAACAAACGTCCTTCCTTAAAGATTTCCCCTAACCTCCAGCACGTGGGTGTTTCTCCCCTGTTCTCCAAAGGCCTATGACGCTTACATTATCACAGCATTTATCACCATTAATTTTTTTCCCATAAGTTATTGGGGTAGAGGTGGTATTTGGTTACATGAGTAAGTTCTTTAGTGGTGATTTGTGAAATTTTGGTTCCCCTATCGCCCAAGAAATATACACTGCACCCTCTTTGTAGTATTTTATCCCTCATCCCCCTCCCACTCTTATCCCCAAGTTCCCACAGTCCATTGTATCATTCCTATGCCTTTGCATCCTCATAGCTTAGCTACCACATATCAGTGAGAACATACGATGTTTGGTTTTCCATTCCTGAGTTACTCCACTTAGAATAATATTCTCCAATCTCATCCGGGTCGCCGAAAATGCTGTTAATTCATTCCTTTTTATGGCTGAGTAGTATTCGATTGTATATATATATATCAGTTTCTTTAATCACTCTTTGACTGATGGGCATTTGGGTTGGTTCCATGATTTTGCAATTGTGAACTGTGCTGCTATAAACATGCACGTGCAAGTATCTTTTTCATATAATGACTTCTTTTCCTCTGGATAGATACCCAGTAGTGGGATTGCTAGATCAAATGACAGCTCTACTTTCAGTTCTTTAAGGAGTCTCCACACTGTTTTCCATACTGACTGTACAAGTTTACATTCCCACCTGCAGTGTAGAACTGTTCCCTGATCATGGCATCCATGCCAACATCTGTTTTCTGATTTTTTGATTATGGCCATTCTTGCAGGAATAAGGCAGTATCGCATTGTGGTTTTGATTTGCATTTCCCTGATCATTAGTGATGTTGAGCATTTTTTCATGTTTGTTGGCCATTTGTATATCTTCTTTTGGGAACTGTCCATTCATGTACTTCGCCGACTTTTTGATGAGATTGTTCTTTTCTTACTGATTTGAGTTCACTGTAGATTCTGGATACTAGTCCTTTGTCAGATGTATAGATTGTAAAGATTTTCTTCTACTCTTAGGTTGCCCCTTTTGAGGTACCAAAGCTCTTTGGTTTAACTAAGTCCCAACTACTTATCTTTGTTTTTATTGCATTTGCTTGTGGGTTCTTGGTCATGAAATCCTTGCCTAAGCCAACATCTAGAAGGGTTTTTCCAATGTTATCTTCTAGAATTTTTATAGTTTGAAGTCTTAGATTTAAGTCCTTAATCCATTGAGTTGATTTTTGTGTAAGGTGAGAGATGAGGATCCAGTTTCATTCTCCTACATGTGGCTAGCCAATTATCCCAGCACCATTTGTTGAAAAGGGTGTCCTTTTCCCACTTTATATTTTTGTTTGCTTTGTTGAAGATCAGTTGGCTGTAAGTATTTGGGTTTATTTCTGGGTTTTCTGTTCTGTTCCATTGGTCTATGTGCCTATTTTTATACCAGTACCACGTTGTTTTGGTGACTGACTATGGCCTTATAGTATAGTTTGAAATCAGGTAGTGTGATGCCTCCAAATTTCTCTTCTGCTTAGTCTTGGCTCCCGCCACGTGGGTTCTTTTATGGTTCCGTATGAGTTTTAGAGTTCTTTTTCTTGAGACGGAGTCTCGCTCTGTCGCCCAGGCTGGAGTGCAGTGATGCGATGTTGGCTCATTGCAGGCTCTACCTCCCGGGTTCACGCCATTCTCCTGCCTCAGCCTCCCAAGCAGCTGGGACCACAGGCACCCGCCACCACGCCCAGCTAATTTATTTTTAGTAGAGACGGGGTTTCACCATGTTAGCCAGGATGGTCTCAATCGCCTGACCTCTTGATCTGCCTCGGCATTCCAACTGGGATTACAGGCGTGAGCCACCGTGTCCAGCCTAGAGTTGTTTTTTTCTAATTCTGTTAAGAATGATGGTGGTATTTTGATGGAGACTGCACTGAATTTGTAGATTGCTTTGGGCAGTATGGTCATTTTCACAATATTAATTCTACCTTTTCACAATATTGATACTACCCATCCATGAGCATGGGATAGGTTTCCATTTGTTTGTGTTGTCTACGGTTTCTTTCAGCAATATTTTGTAGTTTTCCTTGTGGAGGTCTTTTGACTCCTTAGGTATATTACTATACACACATATATATATATGTATATATTTGCAGCTATTGTAAAAGAGGTTGAGTTCTTGATTTGATTCTCTGCTTGGTCACTGTCGGTGTACAGAAGAGCTACTAATTTGTGTACATTAATC
This sequence comes from Homo sapiens, assembly GCF_000001405.40. Classification (NCBI taxonomy): domain Eukaryota; kingdom Metazoa; phylum Chordata; class Mammalia; order Primates; family Hominidae; genus Homo; species Homo sapiens. Next base: position 5,106,390 of record NT_187660.1, read on the forward strand.
TTGTATCCTGAAACTTTGCTAATTATTTTATCAGTTATAGGCGCTTTCTGGAGGAGTCTTTAGGGTTTTCAAGGTAAACAATCATATCATCAGCAAACAGTGACAGTTTGAACTCCTCTTTACTGATTTGGATGCCCTTCCTTTCTTTCTCTTGTCTGATTGCTCTGGCTAGGACTTCCAGTACTATGTTGAAGAGGAGTGGCGAGAGTGGGCATCCTTGTCTTGTTCCAGTTCTCAGAGGGAATGCCTTCAACTTTTCCCCATTCAATATTATGTTGGCTGGGGGTTTGTCATAGATGGCTTTTATTACATTGAGATATGTCCCCTGTATGCAAATTTTGCTGAGAGTTTTAATCATAAAGGAATGCTGGATTTTGTTGAATTCTTTTTCTGCATCTATTGATATGATCATGTGATTTCTGTTCTTAATTCTGTTTATGTGGTGTTATCACATTTATTAACTTGCGTATGTTAAAACCATCCCTGCATCCCTGGTATGAAACCCACTTGATCCTGGTGGATTATCTTTTTGATATGTTGTTGGATGCAGTTAGCTAGTATTTTGTTAAGGATTTTACCATCTATGTTCAACAAGGATATCGGTCTGTAGTTTTCGTTTTTGGTTATGTCCTTTCCTGATTTTGGTATTAGGGTGACGCTTGCTTCATAAAATAAATTAGGGAGGCTTCCCTCTTTCTCTATCTTGTGGAATAGTGTCAAAAGGATTGTTATCAATTCTCCTTTGAATGTCTGGTAGAATTCTGCTGTAAATCCATCTGGTCCTGGACCTTTTTTTTTGTTGGTAATTTTAAAATTATCATTTAATTCTTGCTGCTTGTTACTGGTCTGTTCACGGTATCTAATTCTTCCTGATTTAAGCTAGGAGGATTGTATTTTTCCAGCAATTTATCCATCTCTTCTAGGTTTTCTAGTTTATGTATCACCATTAATTTTTAAATTGCCATGTTATCTTGTACATCTTCCCCACTAGACTCTAAACACCTCAGAGGCAGAAACTGTGTCTTGTTCTTGGTATGGTAAACAACATCTGGCATATCAATAAGCTTTATTTTTGGTTGATGGGCACTACTACAGAGGGCTTGTAAAACATGGTTCTGAGATGTATGTACCTTTAGCAGGAGACATCTAATTTATCACTATGTTTTCTTGTAGTTTCAGGAATCCTCTTGACCCTTCCTCTTTAAGGCCATTAGCTTTGTTAGGGATACTAGGATACAGTAGTTTTCTTCATTTTATCAGACACAATGTACTTTTTTCCCCCATCTTCATATACTTATTTTACTACTTTAAAATGGAAGCAGTACTCTCATCTGAGTGCCAAGATGGAACAACATCTAAGATCCTCACTACAAAGCTCCATGCTAATCTATGCTGGAAGAACTCAGGCATAGTATCTCTTTCCATTTTCCAAAACTTTATCAGATTCAGTCCTGGTTTTGATTGCGTGTGTGTGTGTGCGCGCTCGTGCGCGCGCTAGAAAAAAGGAAATGTTGCTGAGTGTATCAGGCTGGTAGCAGCTCTTATGAAAGCTGCTTAATTAGAGTTAAAAAGGCATGACTCTACATGGGTTTCTTTAAATTTCACAGACCAAGACTTGGACCAAAAACCAGGCATGAGAATAAGGAAGCAGGGAGCAGGAGTCATCTTTCTTTAGCTAATTGCTCATCACCACTAACCAAAAAAGTCATCACTTAGGCTCCTAGAGGAAAGGGCCAGTTTCATAAATCACATAATTCTACCCTCTTGTTGAGTGAAATGCATTTTGCACAGTAAAAGCCAGAAGAGCACCACACTACTGTGGGCTTATTTTTCCTAGACTGGGCCATCCCATGTTTGAAACTGTTCTCATTGTAAGATTTTCCTCTGTGAAGTTGATTCCACTGGGTTCAGCTCTTTTCAACCACAACTATATTCCACAGGCATATTTCAGCCTTCCCACACAATGCATTTGACTTGGTTGGGGTAGGTACTACCAATAAATCTGCCCATGCCAACCTAGGGTTAGAAATGTCACCCTCAAAGATTCTTCAGGATAATTCTTCTGCCACACTAGTACCTGCTGTCAAAACCTAGGGTATGTGCTTATGTGCCCGCTGCTGCTTCTTAATTTCCTGAAGCTAAACATGCCTTCCTCACTCCACCAGAAAACAGCTCTCATCTCCTCATATCTAGTTCTTTACAGATGCCACTTATTACACGTTTGTGAATATTAACATTATATCCAGTTCAGCAAGTTTTATCAGACACCTGTATTACAGGCAGTAAAAAAGAGACAATGGCCAGGTATGGTGGCTCATGCCTGTAATCTCAGCACTTTGGGAGGCCAAGGCGGGTGGATCACTTGAGGTCAGGAGTTCGAGACCAGCCTGGCCAACATAGTGAAACCCCGTTTCTGCTAAAAATACAAAAAAAATTAGGTGTGGTGGTGCACACCTGTAGTCCCAGCTACTTGGAAGGCTGAGGCACGAGAATTGCTTGAACCTGGGTGGCGGAGGTTGCAGTGAGCCAAGATTGCACCACTGCACTGCAGCCTGGGTGACAGAGCGAGACTCCATCTCAATTAAAAAAAAAAAAAAAGAGAGACAACAATGAATTCTGAACCTCAAAAACCAATGCCAAGATAATAGGTAATTCCTCATATATACATACAAGGCAGAATAAGATGCATCTTGAGAAAGATTCAAACAAAGTACTTCTCAGGCTTCAAAGCCTTCCTTCAAAGATCAGGATGTTAATAACGACCTCAAAAAAGGGCCATGTAAGATTAGACTAAGTTATTTTTCACTACATCTTTTTTCCTGTTTACAAAAGTGATACATGTTCATTATGTTTAGTAATGGAAAGAGAGAAGACAGTTAAAAAAAAAAAAACGCTTACAATCCTAATATTCAGAAACATTTTAATGTATTTTTTTCAGGTTATTCTGTGTATTTATATTTATCTACTACATATTTGGTATTATACTATATGTTATTTTGAAACACTGCTTGTAAATTAAAAGCAGATCAAAATTATTTTCTAATACCACTATATTCTCTCCTATACACTCTCCATAAGAGTATATTATTCCAGTGTGTGACTCTAGTATAATTTATTTGACCTTGGTCTCCATCATTGTACACCTACCAAAATTTTTCCAATATTTTGCTATCATAAGCTATTATAAGTAAATAGTCATTAAATCCTTAGTTGTTTTCTTAGGGTAGAAATTTCTTAAAAGGTTACACGTATTTCTAGGGCTGTTGATACAGAAAGGTTGAAAACCTTGCTTATGATCCTGAGATTCATGAGTGTGATGGATTGGGTGTTCGTATGCATGTGTGAGATGCGCCACCATTGAACCTTGTTAAGATATGGACACATTACCTGTCTGACATGAAGAAAAAAGGAAAAAATGAAAAAATGTGGGAAAAAAGGGAAACAAAAAGAGGAAGGAAAAAAAAAAACAAAAACACAACCTTGCTTGCCCATAAAGCATACATGTATAAATTAGGAAAATGTGTTCCTGTAGGTAGGAACAGCTTTATGGGCAAACAGCTTGACAAGCACATGGCATCTTTATGTGAATTTTTTAAAGTGTGCCCTTTATAGGATGTATAATTTGGTGAATCAACGGCAGGCTAAATATGAGTCCCATTTGACTTAGAGACCTTAAACAGAGAATATATTGATTTACCATACATGACAGTCCTGAGAAAGGTTTGATCAATTTACAGTGCTAATTCTATATATCTAGTTGGCAATTTATGTCTTCTATATGTCTTTTGTAAATTGCCTGTGATATATTTTGCCATTTTTTAAAAATAAGGAAGAAAGTTTTTTTTCTTGTTAATTCTCGAGTTCATTGTCTATTATGTTGTAAACATTTTACCAGTACATTATTTTGAATTTAGTTTTAAGTCATTTTTGAGATACTACAGTATTTTAAAATTTTAATTAGGAATTGAAGTTTTTTAGTTTTATGCATTGAAAGTCATCATTCTCACCTTTTATGGTTTGTGTCTTAGACTGAACACTTCGAAAGGATTTTGCTACTTCAAAATCAGTAAACTATTTACCTACACTTTTGTCATGTCTTATTGATTTTATTTTTCATTTATTTCTACATTTATCTCTTCTGTTCTTTAAAACTTTGCTCTGGTCTCTGGTATGAGATCTAGGAGATAATTCAATTTCTTCCTCTTACCAATTACTTGAAATTTCTCTTTTATCACATACTTGACACATATTTATTTAGATCCATTTCTGAGATTTCCTTTTCATGTTCTTAAGTTTTGTGATGTTAGTCTATCATTCTACACTTTTAATTATTATAGCTCTATAATATATTAGAATATATAAATGAATGATTCTCTCTTCATTTTTAAATCCTGGTCAAATTTTTGTCTAATTATTTTTATACATAATATTTAAAATTATTTTGTAAACTTCTAAGATTGATTAGAATTTTGACTGGTACTTCCAACAGAGGACATAATGCCACTCCTTACTGTGGTAAAAAACAAACAAAAAAAACCCCCTATAACATGATATCTGTTCTCTTAAATTTTTAAGTGTACAGTATAGTATTGTTAGCCATGTGTATTATTGTACAGATCTCTAGAACTTCTTCATCTTACGTGACTGAAACGCCGTATCCTCAATTCTCCATTTCCCCATTCCCGCATCATTCATTCTACTTTCTGTTCCTTTCAGTTTGACTACTTTAGATACTTATTTAAGTGGAATCATGCAGTATTTGCCCTTCTGTGACTGGATTATATTGACTTAGCATAATACCTTCAAGGCTGACCCCATGTTGCAGCATACGACAGAATTTATTTCTTCTTTATGGTTGAATAATATTCCCTAGTACATATACGCATTTTCTTTACCTATTCATCTATTGACAGACATTTAGATTTGTTTCCAAATCTTAGCGATTGTGAACAATGTTTCAATGAATATGAGAGGGAAAATGTCTCTTTGAGATCCTGGTTTCAATTCTTTTGGATAAATACCCAGAAGTGAGATTGTCTGATCATATGGTAGTTCTATTTTTAATTTTTTGAAGAAACTCCCTACTGTTTTCCATAGCAGCTCCACCATTTTATATTCCCACTGATGGTGCTAACTGGTTCCATTTTTTCTACATCCTTGTCAACACTTGCTATTTTCCATGTGGTAGGGTTTTGGTTTTAGTTTTTATTAACAGCCATCCTAAAAGGCATGATGGGCTATCTCACTGTGGTTTTGATTTGCATTTCCCTGGATGATTAGTGATGTTGGCACCTGTTGGCTATTTGTTTGTCTTATTTGGAGAAATGTCTATTCAAGCCCATTACCCAATTTTTAAAATTGGGTTTTTCTTTTCTTCAGTCTGTTTTTAAATTTTTATGGCTTTCAGTAAAATTACGTGAATGTATTCACAAAGGTCTGTACTTGTCTGGTTAAGTCTGTAACACATATATTGGTAATGTTACTGGGAGACTTTTTCCCAAAAAATCTTTAAATTTATTATTTCCAGAGAGGAGTAATGAGAAAAAAAGGAAGTTTTATAAAAAGGCTAGAGACAAAGATACTTTCAGTGAGGGAGAACATCAGAAGTAAAAACACATTAGTAAGAAAGCACAGGGTGTGTGTGGAAAACATCAGGTCTTGAGTTGGATCACAGAATACGTGTAGAGGGAAAGTAATAAAAGCAAGGTTGTAAAAGATTGGAATTAAATTCGTAGAGTCCTAATTCACTTGAAAATGGGGAGCCACTTCTGTTTTGAGTAGAAAAGCAATAGGATCAGAGCTGTGTAAAGAGGGTGTGGGATGGCTTAGAGTGGTAGAACCTCGAAATAGAGAGCTGAGCTGGAAAGCAAGTGAAATTCTCCAAGTGAGTGGTCTTAAAACCTGGGTAAGCTGGGGTCGGCAGGAAAACAAAACAAAAAACAAAACAGGGAAGGACATCAGAAACAACTCAGTGGAAGGACAGAGAGTAGCCAGAGAAGGACAAGGTTTCATGCCTTAATAGCCAAAAACTATCAAAAACTACGATATTCTTAACAGAAATCAGGGAAAAGTTTGGGGGGCGGGGAAACGATGAGCCTGGCTGTAGGTATATTGAAAATAGTTAGATAAGCCCACCAGGAGGGTAGAAGAAAGTATTATGGAGTTCATCAGTGCCTCACTTGTCTTCTGGATGAAACTGCAGGCCTATTGAAAGGCCCTGAGATCTCTACTATTCTTCCCTCGATGCTTAGGAACAATTATGCTTACATGGATGGTTAAGCAGAAGTCCTGACAGCATTTACTTTGAGACTTTTACTATTCATATCGATTGCTATATTTCTTAACATCTTACAACAATACCTTTTTCTTCTCAAAATTACAACTCCTTGTTCTCAATTTAACAAGAAGGAATAAAATAGAAAATTCTGCTCAGATGGACTCACACAGAAATGTTTATTTCTAATTGCAAATGCCCTCTAAGCAGAAAAGATGGATTTTTCAAATTCTACATCTTCAGTCTGTTCATAGATTCATTACTGATAAAATATTGGGTATTACTGAGTCTTACTTTCCTAAATTTTGCTTTGCATCATCAGAATACAGTTTCAATTATAACCAATTACTGAGCGGATCTAGATTTCACAGAGAACCTCACAATCTGGCCATAAAGCACTGAGGCAGCTAGGGGTCTCTCTGAAGCTGTGTTATAGTCGATTGAGACTCAGTAGATTTACACCACTGAATAATGCTTCTCTTCATAAGTCAACTAAACTCTCTTGGTTTCAGTGTGCTCATCTGTAAACCACGCTGGAGAGCTCTCATATTCTATGTTGGGCTTGCAGTTCGTTCATCCATCTATCCATCATCCAACTTATGAATGTCAACAATGAGTAAGAGGTGAAACTTTTCCACGTAATACCATTTCTTACCTGATCATAGTAACGCAGGTAATACTTAACAACGTAGTCCACCAGATTAATCCCATTATCCTAGGTTTAAAAGAGAAATGTACATGAAAATCATTCCCATGAGACTGTCATGTTACACGGTTGAGAGGTGAAATCTCAGTTGAGAAATTTCTAATTCGTGAAAACTGGCTTTCTCTTCGATGCTGGCAAGGTTTTCCTTCCTCTGCTTTATCCCATCCATTTATTATGCTGGCTACATAAAGAAATGACACTGTACTATCCTTTGTGGGGAAAAACAAACAGATAATCCATAAAACTTCTGAAATAATGGCTAAAACAAACAAAAAAGTTGTGTCCTTGTATTTTCTGGCACACAGCCAAGACAGGAGGTGCGGGGAATGCTAAAGGGAACCAGGGCCTAGAACAGAAAAGCACCCTCCCTGCCCGTCTTTCAAAAAATGTGCGTTCTTAATGGTGTGAAAAACAATCCAGGCCAGCTTAAAAGGAGCACCACACCACTTTATGACCCCGGGAGGCCAGTGGGGAGCAGGCCCTCCCACAAGGCAGCCTTTGTGTCCTGCTCACTGGGGCCTAATTCTAATTTGCCTGTGTGTTTCCCCTCCCTGCACCCCCCTGCCCCCCATGGGACGCCTAGCTATGGGCTGATTGTTTCTAAAGAGGTAGCGCCACAGGGGTGTGGAGCCAAGTGATAATCAGGCTCAGAGAGCTTGACAGTAGACCCCAGCCCAATTGTTGTGGCAAAAAATTGGTGATTCAACATTGCTCTGCCATTCAGGAATGAGTAAACTACTAGTAGCCAACACTAAACTCAAACAGCCTCCAGCCTTTGCAGGATCCTGGTACTGTATGCTATCTGTTTTGTTCTCTCACTGAGTAGCAGTTCAATACCTGATTGTGTATGTCAGAGCACACGAAGATGGGAATTGAGTAATTGAAAATAAAGTCTAACGTGAAAAAAAAAAACCAAACAAAACTCTTTATTCGAAAGTGAAAAGAAAGCAAACAAAAAAATGCATGCTCTAATATAAATGTTGTTAAGGGGAGGATAGAGATAAATGGAACAATCTGGAATACGTTTTTTAAAATTAAAGGTAAAGAAAGAAAATAATGGCAGATCATGGGAACTTATTATGAAAAATAAATACCCGACTTTTGACATCCTTGAGTTTGGGCAGAATTTCTAAGCTATATCCATCGGCTTGTCCCCGAGTCCTATTTCCTCCATTCATATAATTTCCAAAAGCCAAGATGAGAGCTAAAATATCCTTCACGCTCTTCACGTGCAGCAAGTCCTGTGATGGCAAACACCAGTTATTACGGAGCTGAACTCCAAATGCACCCATGTTCATTCAGTAACAAATATCGACTGTGTACTCAATAGGCTGTCGGGAGGCTTGGTACCAACAGAATTAACAGTTGCTGAAATGAAAAACACACTTTACTAAGCCATGAGTGTCTTTACAAACACATTAACAGCCATTATTTTCTACCCACTCAAATTAATTATAAACAGTGCATGTTTTAATACATGAGGATTAACTATTGGTTTTATATTTTCATTTGAGCCAGTTTAATTTTTAATACTTATTTTAAAGTAGAAGTTGTAAAAAGGGAGTTGGTATATATAGTAAGGCTTAACCTTTGATGACTTCTAGGTAGAAAGGGGTTTACCTTTTGAGGATGTATTTCAGGACTATTTATCTAGATAACCAATACAGTTAAATGCAGAGCAGATACAGAAGAAGTATGTTCTTCTTTATCCCCGGATATAATTTTCAGAGCTAAACTACAATAATGCATTTTAAGGCTGTAGGCCATCTTTAATAAATTTATTAAACTTACTTTATTAAGTGCTTGTTGTATTGTCTATTAACTTTTACAATTTCAAGCTGCTTAGGATTTTCTTTGTCTCCCTGTCTCATTTGTTTGTCCTTTTATTTATTTTTTACTTCAAGTACAATTTTCCAATTGAAATTTTTTTTCTTTATGGTCTTAATTCACATTTTATCCCCCTTTATTTCAGGGTAAAAAAAGTAATGGCTGGGCACGGTGGCTCACGCCTGTAATCCCAGCACGTTGGGAGGCCGAGGCAGGTGGATTGCCTGAGGTCTGGAGTTCAAGACCAGCCTGGCCAACATGGTAAAACCCCATCTCTACTAAAAATACAAAAACTAGCTGGGCGTGATGGCAGGCACCTGTAATCCCAGCTACCTGGGAGGCTGAGGCAGGAGAATCGCTTGAGCCCTTGAGGCAGAGGTTGCAATGAGCCGAGATCACGCTACTGCACTCCAGCCTGGGCAAGAAGAATGAGACTCCGTCTCAAAAAAAAAGAAAGAAAGAAAGAAAGAAAAAAAATTCAGCTCCAGGCAGACTTCTTTTTCTGCTCCTGCCTTTCAGGTATTATTAGTGCGTGTATAATTATATTTCAGTAATATTTATTCTCTACTGAAATATCTCATATCTTAGAGGAAAAAAAATCATTTCTCCAAATAAGGAACAAAGTACTACAGTATTTGTGGAGAAGAATAACGTGTCCTTAAGAGCATGGGTCAACTGTGAGAAAAAGGCAGGTGCTAGAATTTAACCTTATAATGAACACCAGTGTAGTAAAGCCAACAAATATTTCTTTGCCAATGACTCACTGTCAGTCATTTATTTCACTTATCAAGTCTCTAGGATCCTCTTATTAGGTTGACACATTTCAGATGATCAAATGTATGGATCTCAAGCAAAATCTCTTCTGCAATCCAAATTGTAAAATAAGAAACAGACCATGCTATTTAGATTGGTTTTTAGTGGCCAGTATGTACTTTGGAAGATACTCAGAATTTTTTAGAAGGAATCTGTAAAAGTGTCATTTTTTTCCCTCCTTCTCCCTCTTCATCCATCTGCATCTCCTTTTCTCTCCCTCTCTCTCATACACACACACACGGGCAAGATAATCATCAAATTTACACTTAGAAAAACATACAATCTGAGTCCAAAAAGGTTTCTATAATGGCATTAAAGTGGTCTCTCCCACTTTCTTCTTTACTCTTCAGAGCAAGGCTATCTTTTAAATTAGACAGTAAACATACCTTAGAAGCTCGCGTGATGATCTCTACCTTTCTGTGCAAGGAGGTGATACCCTCAGAAAAGACAGATCTGAAGATTATGCACTGGGCACGTTCAGCAAAATTAGGAATCTGGGCTAACTCATGTAAAAATCTGTAAAAAAGAAAATGTGTCATCTACCTTCACATATAATCACAAGGAAAATAAAAAGACAGCTGAAAAAGACCCACTTTGGGAACATTCCTTACCTAACAATCTCAACAATTATAAAAGGTGTCACATAGGTAGACTCAAGGAATTCCAAGGGCATGGTTTCCATTGTTGACAACAGGGCTGTTTTTTAAAGGAGTTCTAGCATGATGAATAAATGCATGGTATAGAAATTCCTTCGGGAACAGAAAGTTAACACAAGTATACTAAACAAGTTATCTATCTCCTGCTGCCCAAACAAGAGACTAAACCCAAATGGAAAGCCCCAGTCTTTAACACACGAGAAAAATTATGCAATAAACTCCCTCATAATGCAGCATTCTCTAAAGGTGTATTTATACAGGCTAAGCAAACTGAAGACTTGAGGCAAATGTCTACAGACAAGTGATTTAAAAAAAAATCTCTTACTAAAGTGATATTGCTACTATTTTTGCTCAGTGAGTTACATAATGGTCTATAATGATCACATTCTCCAGATATTTGTTTACTTTTTCACATTAACTTACACACATAGACATAGTTTACAACTCAGTATTTAGAACAAAGCAGGCACTCATTAAGTAGACAACCTAAAGTTTCCTTAAAAATGTGGCAAGACAGATCTTAAAAGCTAAAGGTGAGTACTGACCTACACACAGTAGCTCACTGTCTGAGTGGTTGGGCACTTGTTCCCTTTGCAAAACTAAGTTGGAAAGAGCGACATACTCTCCAGGCCAACCACCAGAGGAAGGGGTATAAATGAAAATGGGTGGAAACAGTTGGACATGAATTCAGAAAAGGAGAAAATCTACTAACAGCCATTTATTTCATTTTGGTGTTGAGATGATGATTAACTGATATTTCTGAAAGTCTTGGTCAACTCATAACGTCATTACCAAGGAATTTTGCCATCTCTCACCAAAAATGGTTTTACATAGGAACAAAGCTGAAGCCTACTTCTTTCTATACCGAAAGATATTTTCTTTGCTTATACACCCTGTGCTGCCTCTACCTTTAGGGAGATTTGGGTTTTAATTAATTTCTAACATCAATTGATTTCGTATTTATTCCACGACTAGGTCATAATCCACAATCTTTTTTTAGATGACATTTAATGAAAGCAAGGAATATCCATAAGAGAAAACACAATCTTGTTTTAAAGTTCAATAACCCATTATTATGAAAATTATCTGATGAAGTATAAAAGTAGAAATTCATAGGAATTCTGCATTAGGACAAGATGAAAAAGTTAAACTCTGTGTAAATTACTTCTTAATGAATATTAAACAATTTATTCATTTATCATGACTGAAATCAGGGGTATCATCAGTCTTTATAAATACATAAGAAGCAAAAAGCTCACAAGACTGACAGCATTTGATCCTGTAATGAGTCTGGGGAAGACGTATTTATTCAGATGCTGAGCTATTCTGAAAGAAGGGCCCTGCATTTCTCCCCTTCTAAATGTGACCCATGAGGCGTCATTCAGGACCCAAGTTCCCAGAGCATGTACACTTCCTATCACAGTGAGCGAAGCAGTTACAGACACCACCTGGGAAAATATACAGATCAATGCCTCGGCTCACCAAAAAGGACTTAGATGAAAAGCAGAAAATGCTGAATGAATAGTTACCTATAACTAATCTCAAAAGAGGAAGCATAGGACCAATATGAGGCGACAAGACCATAGTCTTATCAATGTATGTTACGCAAGAAAGGGTAGGATAGAATTGCAAGGCTCTCTAGGATTAAAGCCTTTCTGGGGTTAGGGCTTGCACTGGAAAAGCTCTTAAAGAATCTTAAATGTTCCAATGTCCTCTTTAAGCAGAAGGGTCTGCAACCCATACGAAGAGTTGGAGGGGGGAGAAAAGATCATAATTTTACATTACTTTTGGAAAGACTTGAAAATTCATACTAGAAGATCAGTCACCAAGAATGTCAGTCTGTCCTTTAGGAATGTATGAGGCATTTACAGTGTGTCAGGGACCATGCGAAGATCTGAGAACAGAGCTTAATCTACAGTCCCATCTTGATAATCTGAGAAGTAAACCAACAATTACTGTGGAGTGTGAATGAGTGCTCTCGGTGATGGATCCAGAAGAGGAGCTAGGAAAGCAAATGCAGGACACTCAAGTGTCATGGGGGGAACATTGTCAGCTAGGGTCCCCGGAGCCCTGTGATGCTCACGCACAACATGTGAGAAACTGCCGGGAGAGCCCAGATAGGCTGAATGGTATCTGTGGGGGAAGTGAGTAGAAGGCAGATGCTAAAATTGTGTTCTGTATTCTAAAATACAGGGTTTAAACTTCTGAACGAATGAAGGGTTCTAAACAGGAAGGTGACAGTTTCTGCTTTTTGTTGTAGAAAATCTCCATGGCAGCAGCTCAGCTGATTGGATGGGAGAGGAAATTTGAGGCTGGGAGACCTCCTAGACCACAGCTGTAATCTTCCAAGAGGAAAGGTAAGAGGGGCTTGCAGTGTGAATGGAGAGGGGCAAATGGATGAGGAAGCTGCTAAGGTAACAAGACCCAGAGCAACCTACTCCTAAGAGATGTTGTGAAGAGTCCAGGATGACTTTGCAGTTTTGGCGTGGATATTGGGTATAGCGAAAATACAAAATAATAAAGAAGCAAATTTGGAGGAAAAAAATAGAGTTTTATGACCCTTGCCATCCAAAAACAGCCATGCAAGGAGCACCATAGCTCCTCTCTTATTTATCTGCTAAGCTACCAGAGGTATGGGTTACTTTGAAGGCTGTGAAGCAAGCATCTGACAAATAGCTTCTCTTCCCCTGCCCTGCCCCATTACTGTTTTATCCTCTACCCACAAGAGCAAACACAGTAACTCTCTTAAATATTCCCAAGCATGGGATCTTGGACACTGGGCCTTGGTACTTCTGAATATTTATGGATTGAGTTCCTTTTGGGCTAGTCTAACTTTACATTCTAGGTTCAGTAAGAAAGAAGACTAAATATTCCCAAAAGAAGCCACAAATGAGGGATCCTTCCCTTCTTTCTCCAATGTAGGCTAATACTTCTAGGAAGGACTGCAACTTCAGCTTCTAATATATGAAAGACGTTCTGTGTCTCACATTATTTGGGTTACACATCTACAGCAGCAACTCAGCTGACGGGTGGAATGAAGCAATGTGGCTCATGTTTTTAAGAGACTAACATTTGATTTATTATCCCTAAATTTCTGAATGGTATCACCTAAGGTGTATGTGCACATAGGCGATACACATAGCATAACTGAATGTTGCAACCTGCATTCTTCGATGGAGGATTACACTAACAGAGTCTACTGTGTGGGGGCCCCAAGGCAGCTGTGGACCTTCATGAAAATCACAATAGACTGTGTATAGTGTTCTCACCCTAGGCCATGAGAAGTGTGTACCAGGCCTAATCAAACCCAGTAGAGCCTCACCTCACAACCATTACCCGGCAGCATAAGAGTCAACGGCCATCCCTAGAGGGAGTGGTTCTCAGACAGCCTGGTCCCAAACAGATGACACCTCTGTGGGCAATGGCTTTCTAAATCTGGCACTGGAGTGTAAGAGAGTTGATGAGGTGAGTGATGAGGCCAGCCTCTCCATGCTCTGATTTATAGGACTGGGCACCACAGGGCTCTTAGGAAACTGCAACGTTAAAACTATAAATGATTCATATTTTCCAGTATGTAAAACATGCTTATAGTCGACTCACTTGGAGTTAATGGCAAATAAGTTGCCAGAGAATCAGAGTGGCATAAATCAAACAAATGCTGGTTTGTGCAGGAGGTTGGTAGCAAAGGTGAAATGCACCCAGGTCTGAAGGCCCCCATCTATCCGTGCCTCACCCTCCCGCAACTGAGCCCAGGCAAGTCACCTCACCAGCACAGCATGACAGTCCTTTTTGCTGGGTTTGCGTGTTCACGAAGCCATTACAATGACCATTTATAAACATTAAAAATGCTTTTCTATCTAGATCATCAGTAGAGAAAACAAGAGTAAGTTGTGTGTTAATTACCTGCTACCATTATCTAAGTCCCGGCAATTAGAACAATAATTAGGACAGTAGCAGAAACGCATGATCTCTCCCTGCCTGTTCATTTCACCGGATCAGCCATTCCCATAGCTTAGAACAAGGGCTGCTCGGTGGTTAAGGGGTTGGCAAATTGCAGCCCACAGGCCAAAACCAGGCCACCACTTGTTTTTGTATGGCCCATGAATTAAAAGAACGATGTTTACGTTTCTAAATTGTTGAAAAAAGAGTCAACAGAAGGACAACATTTTATGACATGTAAAAATGACATGAAATTCAAATTTCAGTGTTCATAAGTAAAATGTCATTGGGGCACAGCGATACCCATTTGTTTATATACTGCCTGTGGTTGCTTTGGCACAGCAATGGCTGACTTGAATATTTGTAACATCCCGTAAGCCACAAAGCCTAAAAGACTTACTATCTAGTCCTTTACAGGAAAGGTTTGCCAACTCCAGGCTTAGAGGAGAATATTACTGTGTAACTTGGTATAACCAGCACTACCCAAGTGCTTTGATATGCCCACTGTGCCCCAATACAACCAAATGGCCTTTTCAGTGTTGAAACAGCCCATTATTAATCACTTTACTTTCAGTCATTAGCACCGTAAGAGGGATTCATTTGTTATAATAGGAAATATGACTTGGAAATAAACTATAGGATCAGTTGAGGGTAGGGATTGGTAAGGAAGGTGTCTCAAGTCAGTGGAACAAGACAGCAAGGGAACCTCACTTGACTTGATTCACAATATTCCTAGGCTTTAGAAACCTACTTTGAGGGGGGATCCTGGACCATGCTCCATGTGAGAGCAAGTCATCCAAGGTTCCCAGAACCATCATGTAGGTTTGTCGTCAACTGAGTAAACCCAGAATTCTCTTCCCAACTCCCATCCTCAGCCATTTAAGATGTTTTCCTGAGTCTAAATGTCCAGGCATCCATGGGGACTGAGGTATTCTAGAGCAGCTGTGCCCAACCTTTTTAGCACAGGGACCGGTTTCGAGGAAGACAATTTTTCCACAGGCCAGGGGTTGGGGTTGGAGGTGGGATGGTTTCAAGATGATTCAAGCACATTACATTTATTGTGCACTTTATTTCCATTATTATTACATTGTAACATACAATGATATAATTATACAACTCACCATAATCTAGGATTAGTGGGAGCCCTGATGGTCCCTCTAGCTTCCTGCAACTAGATGGTCCCATCTGGGGGTGATGGGAGACAGTGACAGATAATCATTAGATTCTCATAAGGAGCGTGCAACCTGGATCGCTCACATGCGCAGTTCACAATAGGGTTTGTGCTCCTATGAGAATCTGATGCTGCTGCTGATCTGACAGGAGGCGGAGCTCAGGTGGTAATGCCGGCTTGTCTCTCACTCACCTCCTGCTGTGTGGCCTGGTTCCTAACAGGCCATGGGCTGGTACCAGTCTGTGGCCCAGGGGTTGGGGACCCGTTTCTAGAGGACCCAAGGGACAAGGCATGGAACTCCAGTGCAAGCCGGAGAACCTTGGAAGTTTCTAGGGCTGACTGGTAACCCTGATCTGATAGCTCCATTTCTGCTTCATTTTCTACACTTGCCTCATCTCTAGATTGAGAGGGTTGGCCTGAACTGGACAAAAAAAATTCAAGGTAGCAACAGGCAAAAGAGGCCCTCTGAACCTGTGTCAGAGGACACAGGTCCTCTGAACCCATTTTACAGTCTCACAGAGTCCTAAGCCCTGGAAAGCTGGGCAGGGTCGTGGGGCTGCAGAGCCCCGGGAGCTTATCTATGGCTTCGAGACCCCAAGAGTCACTCAGTTACACCCCGGAGTTCTGGGTCTTCAAAGCCTATGGAACGGCATCACAAACAACAGAGCAAGCAGCCATAGATAGTGACTGGAGAGAAAAACAAGCATGTACAGAGTGAGGGTGAGAAAAAGCCACATTTGGGCAGAGCAGGTGGAGAAGTTTGGGGAAAAGCTAGCACATTCAGGCTGCACTTACTGGATATGACCTTTAGGAAAATAAACTTGAATTCTGTGACTCTGATATCATCTTTTTAACTTCATCAAGAGAACCTTAAACAGAACAATGCCTTCTTCCTTCCTCAGTTACCCTTTTGGTCAAATTGTTTAGTCTAGGAGGAATTAACAAGTTGCTAGAAAAAGAAAGGGGAGTCTCTTGGGGTGGGGGAGGGGGGTGAGACACACTGTATCCAACAGCACAAATCTCAGCGCTGCTTTTCCCGGCAGCAGGGTCATCCTGCTGCATGCAACAGGTCACAGGAATGACGGTGTTGTGATTTAGCTGGCTGCACATTTAGATTTGGTTATTCTGAGCTGGGAGACAAGAAGACAGAAATTGCAGTTCTCCTTTTGGCCTAACAGAAAAATGTTAAGTATCCTTACTGCTCAGGTTTATCCAGCAGCTTCAGTTCTTCTTCTTTGGATGTCTCGTAATACTTTCTTATTTTAACCAGCTCATCCTCTTGGGCTCTCTGTATCAAAATAGAAAACAAAACCAAAAAAAAAAAAAAAAAAAAGGGAAGTGAGACTCTGGCTATGGCAGTGGGTCTCAAAGTCTCGAAGTGTGGTTCCTAGACTAGCAGCATCAACAACATCACCTGTCACTTGTCAGAAATGCAAATTATTGGCCCACCCTAGACACAAGAACTTGGGGTGTGGGTGGGGGTGGGGGGATGCAAGCCCACTGGGTGATTCTGATGCATGCTCAAGTTTGAGATTCAATGCAAATGGACCTAACAAGTACACGCAGCTGGACACAGAAGTACAGCTATTTGAGCTCTACTTTTGAATCCCCCATCTCTTCCTCTGTAAGGAGGCTGGGGGAATATTGTTCTTAGAATTTGTTTCCTTACTCTTAGAACAGCCCTAAATTATATGAACTCGCAGCTCTTTCATTTCTAGTCAACAACGTCCCTTTTTCCAAATTTCGTAAGCACTCATTGTCTGTACCACTTATTTTGGCATTGAGTCACTTACTTTCTCAATTTATCCAACTATTTCAGTTGAATGAAGCTTATCTCTACTGTGAGCTAACAAGCGGCAACCATGTGCTTAGTCCTGAGCTCATGGTAACAACACAAAGCATCTGGAAGGTACTGCCTTTGACAAAGTTCTTTAACATGAACCACTGTATCCTCATTTTACAGATTATTCCACTGAGGCTTGTACTAAGCAACTGTTAAAGAGCTTCAGACTTGGAACTCCCTCTTTCTGCCTCTATACCTTGCTGACCTCCAAGTATTCAAGTGCATAATTAGCTCCCAATGGCCTGGTATTTGTGTACTTTCTGGTTTATTAACGAAAGCTTTACTAGTGGAAACGTGAGAAGTTCCGACCCACTTGTACTAAGTAGCTCCTGATACATATAAAGATGTGAAAATGAGCAAGGAATTGGTGATGCCACCAAGCCTAGACTATTAGACTATGGAAATCTTCTGTAAGAAACTTAAGGTCCCAGGGGACATAAATATGAAACGAATCATCTTTTGAACTGGTGACCACAGTACACTATAGAGCCCTAGACAGCTTCCTGGGAAATACCATTACTTAAGAGAATGTGGTTCAATCTATGTTTTTGTAGCCTAACAGTCAGTGAACCAAAACAATGAACAATCATGGGAATTCTGACTCTCCTGTGTTGTCTTCTCAAGAGAGCCTGACAATTCTGCTGGTTATGTCCACTTAAAACCCAAATCAAAAACCTTATATGTGTACAGTCCTGTTGACTTTCAAAATACATTGCTACTGCTACATATATTAAATCCTCATTTGACTAAAAAAAAAAAATCAGAGCCTACTATAATCCCCGCTATACTGATGATCACAACGGGATTAAGAAGTTTAAGTAACTAGCCCAAGGTCACTTAGCAGGCAATGGTAGACACAGCTGGACCTCAAACCTAAGACTGTCTCATTCTAAATCCAAAACACATACCTACCATTCTACACACCTTCCCACATTCAATATCATCAACTCATTTGGACTAAGAGTAATCATCCAAGCTGGTATTAGCAGTCCCATTCTTCAGAAGTAGACACCAGTGCACGCTATCATTTCAGTAGGCAGCTTACCTTCATTCACTTGGCCAGCAAGTGACAGGACTGGGTTCCAGGGCACGTAAATGGTGTCCACCTGAGATGCCCTGCCTTGCAAGTGTGCAATGAGATCTGCTAGCCCAGATACCACAGTGGGAGTCAGGAATCTAGTGCTTCTCACATCCACTCCCATTCAAGCTTGTGTTTCTATGCCTTAATCTCTTCCAGGCCACGTCAAAACCCTTACTACCAAAGAACATGAACAGCTCAGTCATTTCTCAGGTAGAAGATAAATATGGAAATACTAGCTCTGTAAGTCTTTGACACTCACGTTTTCATATAAGGCTGCCAGGGTCTCCAGATCAACCACGGAGTCATCCACATTGAAAATGGCTGCCAAGCACCCAAAAAGAAAAGAGGATAAGGGATTTGATTAGGTCCCCTGCACCAATGTTTACTCCACATCCAGCTTCCAAGCAATTAACAGAGTATTGCGTTTTCTTACACAAGCTGTGCCTCTCTGCTCCCCTTCCTTTCGCACCAGGGGTCTCAAATGAAAGAAACCAAAATGGTTCCTATCATTGGCCTGAGCCTTGGCTCTGCCTTGTTTAATTCCTCAGGCTCTGAGTCCTTTCTGCAGTTTAATTTAGGCTCCACAGGAGAAGTGTTTGTGCTTTAAAACTAAATCAGTTTGTAGGTTTGAAGCACAATTTTAAATCTTTCTTCCCGATGGTAATTGAAGAGATTTAGTACCTAATGCACCAGAACTGACTCTTGCCCATTACCAGAAAGAAAGAGAGAAAAAAGACAATGTTGGCAAATTAAATGAATTCAGGCATGTGATTTCAGGCACCTTTCCGTGGCCACTGCCAACATCTTGTTTGGATTAAAAAGACAAGAAAAAACAATAATTGCATCAATAGCAAATTAAGATTATGGAAACCTCCCATGAGCCAGTCTTCAGGCAGGCTCTCATTCCCATGGCTTTATTAGGATTCTACTTGTTCTGTATTATTTAAGATTAATTTAGCCGTTAACTAATATGCTTATGATTTCATCTAGAGAGGTACCTTCCCATAGATACTGGGATGCAAAAATTGAGACTTAAAATCCTTAATGGATTTGGCTATCGAAGTGTTTGAAATAAGCAGGTCCACATCTTTAAATAATTATTCAAAACTAATAAGGTTTGTTCCCTCAACCCTACCTCCCTTCCCTGACTTTACATTGTGAAATTAACCAGCACGCTAGTAAATTTTCTCCGTGGCAGGCTAATTAATTTTATTAAACCAACCAGTGATACTTAGAATGCCTTAAAATTTTGCTCGTCAACTATTTATTCTGTTCATTTGCATTACACCATGGTTTTTGGGAAGGTGGGGACCAAGGTAAGGGGCAGGTTGTTTTTGAGGTATTTTGCTTCTTCTGTGGTTTAGAATCACATGAACCCTTTCATACAATTTTAACAAAGCTAAAATTAACTGAGCTAAGATCATGGAACCTCACAGAACAGCAAGAAATGTACTTAAAATTCCTTTGCAGGCCACCTTCTCAAACTTAGGGGTTAATCAGCAAGCTATTCCTAGATACATGGAACAGAGAGAAAAGAGGAGGTTAATATGCTAGAGTCAAAGTAAGTCACCTCAGATTCCACCAAGACAAAGGAACATCACACATCCACAAAGGCCAATGTGAAACCAGTAAAGAAAAATGCAGTTTAAGGACAGAAAGAAAGGATTTGTCCTCTCAAGACTGTTATTTTGTGTGTGGAGATCACATAAATCCACTAATTTGTCAGACACAACAGGCATTTTTAAATGTCTAGTGCGTTGAAAACCAAAATAGCCAGAAACAATGTCTATTTTATGTAAATCTCAGTATTCTCTCACAAAAATCAACCAACATGAGCGCATAAGAAAAGGTCAAATTCTAAACAATAATCTACCAAAAATGTTTACATGTTAACTAATCATGCATCCTGGGT
Source organism: Homo sapiens (assembly GCF_000001405.40). NCBI lineage: Eukaryota > Metazoa > Chordata > Mammalia > Primates > Hominidae > Homo > Homo sapiens. Next base: position 5,126,612 of record NT_187660.1, read on the forward strand.
AACTATATATTACAAGCTTAGATATAATCAAATAATCTTAACTAATGAGAAAGAGAATGACCTGTGAGTTTCTTTTCCTAGTAAGTAAATACTCAGTTTTTAAAAGTTAATCAGTCTGGGGCCCAGGCACACAGTTCCTCAGATGGTATTGTCAGCTGTGCCCCTTCCAGTGTGTTCAGTAGCAGAAAAATAACACCCAGAGAGGTTGGGACTGAGAACAACCATGGGCTCTGAAGACATGGATTCATTCATTCCTCCATCCAGCCCTTGAATAAGTATTTGTTGGATGTGTACAGGATCTGTTCTAAATACTGTGGATTTTTAAGTTAGAAGTGCAAAGTACTTAATTAATCTCATGAAATTTATATCCCAGTCTGGGGACAGAAAATAAACAAGTAAATACATAATTTCAGATAACAATTTACTATGAAGAAAGTAAAACAGAGAAATGTACAACATTAGACAGAAGGCTCAAGGAAGGCTTCTTTGGGAGGTGACATTTAAGAGAAGACCTGCAGAGATCAGTTTTGTGGCTATCTTGGAGAATAACGTCCCAGGGAGAGGTAACTGCAAAGACAAGTTTCTTTTTCTGAAGGAACACATTCAAGGTATAGAAAAAAAAAAATCAAGGTGACTATCATGGACAGAGCAAAATTTACTCATTGTGTGATCCTGACATGTTAAATTTTCTGAGCTTCAGCATATCTATAAAACAGCTCTAATACCACTTAGTGAAAATATTAAGTGAGGTAAGATATATGCTTAGCATAGCACGTAGAACATGGTATAAGCCCAAAATGGTATATATGAGCTATTACTATCATGATTTCAAATATATACATTGTAAATGTGTTTTAATGCTTGTTAATGCCTTATCCCCTTTAACATCTGGAAAGAGTTAGAGAAAGAAAACTACAACTACTGAGTGATTTGTGCTGTAAATGCAACCTTCCCGAATTCTTAGGTGTTTCTGATCGCGGTTACTAGGAAACCCTTCCAGTCCTTTAAAACCCCACTCAAGACCCAACTTCAGAAAGCATTATTAACAGGAAAGGTCTATGACACAGAACTCTAATTACAAAAAATAATGGATCAAGTGTCTTAAGGGAAATGCCAGGTACCTCCAAGTCTGTATTATCATATTTTTATCTATAATTTCAATATTTCTCATCAATCCATCCTTCATTGTACCAAGGTTACTTTTTAAAAACATGGATTTCAAAATTTTACTGTGATGCTTAACATACCTCCAATATCTTCCTTTAAACACTCGGCGAAGTCTAAACTCCTTGGCCTGGTTGTTAAGCTCATTCCCTGCCTCGCCTCAATTACACTTCCAAACTCATCTCCTACCATGTTCTCCATGCACCATGGGTTCCAGTCACCCTGTGTCCTTCCCCATTCCTGAACATGCCATGGCTTCCTCCCTTTCTTCATCTCTCCATGGCACAGAGGTCAAAGCCCTGGAAGGACATCCTTTGACCCTCACATCATTAAGTCCTCAATCTTTTCCTCTGCCATGGTACCTCTCTCATATTTTACATAAGGTGAAGATGGTATACTTTAAGAATCTGTGGTATGTTGCATAACTGTTTCCTTCTCCCAGTAGACTGTGAAAGCCTTGCAGTCAGCAGTTGATTTCTTAAGCATCTTGATAACTGTCTCCCAGCATGGTACCAGGGGTGTAGCATGTATAACATAGATGTTTGTGGGTATAATTATACCATACGACTCCTGAAGACTGAGTCCTGCTGATGGGAGGAAAAGCTTCTTGACAAAGAGAACATAGGGTCTTAAAAAGAAACCAGAGAGCCTCTAAAGGGGCACAGCCTTATAAGGCATGTATCTGAATCATGGTTGTTTGCTTCTTCCCAATTTGACCCTGTCCAAAAATCAAGGTTTGGCCAGCAGTTACATAATTGTGCCCCCAACTCACACACTCGGTGTAGATTATACCGCTTGCCTGAATACTCCCTAACAAAAATAATTAACTTCAAAGATGAGTTTTCTCATTATTAGGGAATGAATAAGGAAAATATCTTTCCTTATTCAAAAAAGTTTTAAATAGCTGTATCTCCTTAGGAAAAATGTTGAGTAAAAGTTCAACTATTATATTGCTTTAGGCAGACACTGAAAACACTAATCTATTAATCACCAATAATTAAGCTAAATTCATCCATGCAATGACAATTTGTAAGTATGCAATACGTGCCAGTGAACGTAAACTGGAAGGATACAAAACATTCCAGCTAGAAGCAGCAGATAATAGGCTCACAAAATGTTTAGGCAATGGCAGGTAGTTCAATTTTGGTTTGAAGAGAGACTTAATTAAAGGGACTAGAAAGATACACTCCAAACATAGTTTGGGGTAAAACCTTGTAGAATTTTGAATGCCACGATGAACCTGTAATACACTTGTTATACAGGAGAGAGCTGTTGAGCAGTTATGAATGGAGGAGTAAATTGGACAAAATTATATTACACACACAAAAAGTCAAAATTTGAAAAGACTAATTTAGAATCTATTGTAATGGGCAAGAGGTAGCAAAAACTTGAATAGTGTGGACAGAAAGGATAGGGCAAAAAAGAAAGACACTACAGAGCACTATTATAGTGACATTGCTAACTAGCTCTGGGGACTTAGCCTGAAACCACTCTGAGGCTTTGAGCCTAGGTTTAGGGGAAGAGCTTTGTACCATCCCCCCAGAAACAGGCAGAGGAGTCTAAGAGGTGAGCATGACTACTGATCTGTCCCCCAGGGACTGGGAAAGGAATGGAGTAGAGAGGAAAGGACAGGTAAAAGAAGTAGATAAACAGATGAACTTAGGGCCAATGCCAAGTATTCCACTGAAGTTTCTCCTCTTCCACGGAAGGATCTTAAAAATAAAATCTAAAAAGTAAAAGAAAATTCAGAGGTAGCAGAAGCAATATCAAGAGATTGATACTGAGCCTAGAACTTATGGAGATTAAATTAGTTGTATTATTTCTAATAATATTGGCCTGGGAAGGTTAGGGTATCAGCCAGAAGTCTGAAAAATAAAAAGGCCTACCAAGTCCTAGGATGCCTAAGAGAACTGCCTTACATGTACATAATCCCATGTCTTAGTCACCAAATATAGTTTAGGTTCCTAGAGAGCCAGAATCCACACCTGATAATTCTATTCTCAAAATACTGGAACAACGTATTAGAGAATCAATGAATGCTCTCCGATTAAGTCATTCTTGCAAGCACTTACCATTAAACTTATTAGCCATTACATAAGCCCAATTAATTAGTTAACTAATTTGTAATCATAATGATCACAATGTGGAAAGAAGTCAGTCTTCAACTAAACTATTTTCGGCGTCACCCAAGATCAGATCGCTCCCTCCATTTTATACTTTGAAAACACTCACTTTCTGTCTCTGTCTCTTCCACGCATGTGTGTGCACACAGGCACACCGCTCATAAACTGAACCAACAAATACAAGCCTATGCAATTTTACAGCAAGCCTCAAAGCTCTGATACAGTAATTCCAAGTAATCCTACTTTTGTTTCCATCTGTATAGGTCTCATTATACTAACACTCCTGCAGATGGTGTCAGAAAGGTGAAGTGTCAAGTCCACAAAGGGGAGACCCCAACAGCTCATTGCTACTGCAATATCAATCACTGCTGGTGGTTTTTACTTTTATCTCCTTCCCTCCTTAGTTGTCCCACTCACACTGTCAGTTCGGTTAGAATATTTCACCTACACCTCACAATATGTCAAAAGGAAGTAGACACACGCTGTGAAAAGCTGGTAATTTTATTAGATTCCTTTACCTTTAAAAATCTGTTACTTGGTCAAGTCTGGTTTCTGGGCTTCTTTTTTGCAGGGAAATTGAGGCAAACATTTTTATGTGGTCCTCTGGTGCCTGCTCTGTACCACAAGAATTATATACACAAGGATCATTAGAGTAGTGTTTCGCCCATTAAGATATAATAACCGTCAGCAGGGACAAAAAGCAGATCAGTATCACAAATTCAAACTAACAGGCACACATAAAAACTATGTGCCTGCTTTAGGGCACATGCAAGGGGTCAGGGTCTCATACAACAGGGAAAATTCCCCCTCCGGGTAAGAGATGGCTTTTCACAAGACCAGGGTTAAGTAGAAAGAACATGCAGGATTCTCTCAGCTCTCCAGCCATTTTTCAACCCTGAACACTTCTCTCTCCAAGTGTACCATGCCCATATAAACAAAGAATGCACTTGCTGTTCGAAGGGCTTCTAATGAGTAAAAAGACAGGCAGAGTTATTTAAGGGAGTTGTTCTCTTTGACTGAGGGAGCACCTCTGAGCAAGAAGCATGGGACACGGTGGTGAGAAAGGCATACCTTGTATAGTCTGTTAAGATTAGCCAAAGTAAATCTGGTCATCCGAAGTGTGGGAGATGCCACAGGTAGGTAGGGTTGGGTTGGCTCACCAGGTTTCGGCTGACGGTGGTTTTGAGAATGATTTGTACGTAGCCTGTTTTATTCTTCTTTTTATTTCCTTAAGTGACTGATGTAAGCCTCTTGCACAAAGCGGGTATGTAATAATGTTTTGCAAATGGACTAGATATAGTCTGGTCCAGCCCAGGAAAGCAAAGTTTGATAGGATTACTTGACTCTATTAGCAGAAATTATTTTGTTTACAATGTTAACTCTGCAACAGCCAAAATAAAACTTAGCTGCTTTGCCCAAAATACTGGTATTTTTCAGAACTCGACAGAAATTCAATCAGTAAGAGAAAGAGAACAGAGCAGGGAAAGAAATATAGAAGGACTTGGTTTTTTGAAACTCTCATGTCACCTATATCCCACAAAACTCTGACAAACCTACTCCGTGACCTCTACAAAGGCAACGATAACATGGGGTTCATGGGAAGAGGCAGTAGTACAATCTGAGAGTTGAGGAAAGGGAAGGCAGAAACATCTTCCCACAGTTTTCCCTCCCAACAATGAGGTCATCCTTGAGAGCAAACACCAAGTCTATGAAAAAAACTGCAAGAAGTGGAAAGAAGGGGAGCCAGTAGAGAGGGGTGTGGAGCGTGGAAGGACCACTCGGAGGCAAGGCCAGGGGACCGTACAGATCTGCTCCCGCTGAAGAGCTCTGTAACAAGCCTCTTCAAAATGGTCATAGTTCTCCTACAACCTATACCTTGTGTTTCTCCTACTGGACACTAGGTTCCACCTCCAATAAGCACCAGGCCTACCTGTGCAAACCCAGATATGCACAAATCCTCACTCTATGCAAGTATCCAAATGAGACGCTTAAGGGCACCAATTAAGTAGCAGCTTAAAAGAATCTCTGTCCACTCCACCACAGGGTGAGGACAGCAGGCAGACTTTATTGGGGATTAATACTTAATAACTGATAGAATTTATTGGCAGCTTCCTCTGTACCAGGCATTGTTCTAAGTGTTTTGTATTTAATCATATGAGGCGGGTGCGTTTGTTGTTTCTAGTTTTACAGATGATGAAACTAAGGCACAAAGTCACACTGCTTGGTTTCCCAAGCTCAATTCGACAACCACCCCAACTATCCTCCAAGGCAGTGGTAATTTACTGGACAAAGATTGTACTTCATTTTCATAGATGTCAGGCTATAAATAATCATTCCACTTAAAATCCTTACCATCTAAAAAAAGTTTCAATGAATTAACCAATTAAGAACAAACTACCCACAAAAGGCTACAAAGAAACCAGGGTCTCTAAATGGCATCATATGCTTTTTACATTGATCAGCAATCCCAGAGTGGGAAGCACATACAGCCCATGTTATGAAAATTTCATTTATTTAGTATATACATTCATAGTTCCACCATTATTTAATTCATGCTAATACATGGTTCACTTCTAATACGCTATTGCAACATATGCAATGAAATGATTAAGCTTTAATCTTTGTTACAAACTATTTGCAGTTCTTCAAAAATAATCAATATTGCAGCTAAGGCACAGCAGACAGAATTTCTTTAAAAAAAAAAGAAACCTGGAACTTGAAAATACCTTACCTTAAATAAGAAGAAAATAAAATCTCTAGTAACATAAAGTCTAATTTTCTTGAGTATATAACAATAATTGTAATTTTACACTGCATGCCAAAACTGACTAACAAGGAAAACTAAGGCACACAGCACACGAAGAAACACAAACAAAAGTTGCATCCAAACAGATAAAAAAAAAATCAAGAGACTATAGTATAGTTTATAATCTTATCTAAATTGCTAAATGCCTGCTATTGTGTCATGTTAACCTGGGCTCTGATGGAGTAAGAGACAAGTATAAAACACACAGTGAACAGGAGCTGCCTGGGTGGTGGAAGAAATGGACAATCGCAAAAGGGATACTTATCTAATCTATTACAAAACTTCAAAATCACTCAATCTCATAAAGCAAAAATCCAAATTGTCTCCTAAGTCCAGGCATGTACTATGCCTCAAGTTGCCCAAGGTCTCCTTTTACAGGCGCAATTAAGATTGTCCATGGTTCAAACCTCAAAGAAGGGCACAGGGCATAGAATTCACAAAACTTCCCCTTCTATATCCCCTCTATTCTCCAGAGGGCAGTGGAATGAGAAACAGTTTGGGTTAAGCTGCTTCTGTTCGTCCATTAGTTCTGGTTCTTTTAAGCCAAAATTACATTCCAGGCAGATTGGATGGTCTCAGCCAGTTGCCTGAAGGTAAAGTACAAAGAAATGCCACCCTCTGCTTTCTGGACTCAGCTCTGCGAGTGAAGGAATGCAGAATGGTTTAGAAAGGGTAGGTGGGAGCCCCGCTGCTTAGGTGTTTTAGACACAGCAGGAAGGAGGAAAAGGTGGAAAAGGAAAGGAAAATATTAGAGTGACTACTTATATTTATCTAACATTTTAAAAAATTTAGCTCTACCTATATTTAATAAGTTAATTGAAACTGCCCATTTATTTAGTCTGTATGTCAGCAGGTCAGGGTCACATGGCACTTTTGGTGGATAAACTCTTTCAGACGTGGCATGCTCACTTGTTCCTTTGCTTTCAACATATTGTGATGGGGGGGGTATTAAATGAAGTTTTCTTATTCTAAAATCTGGTTTTAACTAAACTTCACAAAATAAACAAGTTGGCTTCAAAAGCCTCCTGCAGTGAAACCCCAGATTTAAGATAATCCATCAACAATAGGAAAATGGTAGAGCAGACACTTTGGTTGCTAGTACAAACTCTTCATCAGTTATGGAAGTGGGTAAAAACAAGGATAGCCAAATGGCACCCGCCAAGAAGTTGATCCCCATAAACAGAATTTATCACTAAGGCTACTTAAAATGTGGGTTTAACTTCATTACTGTTAATAATGAGACTCATTGTAATCGCATATTGAGCCTTGAGATATCAGGCTCATAAGAACCCAAAGCCATCAAAATTAGCAAGACATTTAAAAATATTACTAATCTTATTTTAATTCATATTTTTTGCATATATTTTATAACATGCATATTAGTTATGTCCTACACTTATATTTTAGAAAATAGACCTTGAGAAACATGCACTCAAACTTTTTACTGTTGGGGTGCACGATAAAAAAATTCTGAAGACCAAAAGCCTTTTGAGTAGACACTCTTCTAGGCTAGACTGAGATTGTTCCTCAGGAAAGTCCTAGATAAGTTATGTTGGATTTCAGATGCCTGGTCAAATTCATTACGTTTTAGACAACTTGCATAAACTTTGACAAAGATTTCTGGCAATTATTAAGGCAAAAGGAAACAAGGTCCAGCGGGCATTCTCAGACCTGGGTTTTAGACTCTGAGCACATAGCTGACATCCCTTTTGTACACTTTGAACTGAGATTCCCAAACAGAAAGAAAGCCAATGTTGCAGCTGATCTCTCAAACTGACGTTCTGAACTAGTAAGAACTAAATAAAGGATGTTTTATCTTGATGTTATTTAAATATTATAAATATTAATTCTGCGTGTATGGGAAATTCCAAATGAATGCCAGGAGGTTTCTGGCATCTAGTCTGTTGCAATGCATATGAACGTTTATATCAAGAATAGTCAACAGCAATTTTCTATCTCCCCTGGGACAAGAATAAGAGGAACTCACTAACATGGAATGAAAACACTAATTTGCAATCATGTAGGCAGTCACTGTGACCAAGGATGCCAAATGCTTTTAAATATAAGTCATCCTATCTAGCAGATGGAAAACCAGCAGTAAGTAGATTACTTATTCAGAGTCTCTCCTGGACCAAATGCAAGTGCTTTTGGTATTATGGTCACCCTCCTGAAACCATTCTTCCTCTACAACCAAGGCTTTTCCTTTAGTGATTCAGTGTTTTCACTTCAGCCAGCATATGGATTTGGCTTTCTTTTACAAGACATCAAACACTATCTTGGGTAGAAATAAAGGGATAAAGGTTACTTTTGGGAGTATGTTATGTCTAACCTAGCCCTATCCGCTTACCACTAGCACAAAGGTAGATTTTTAGATGCTCACCGAACACTTTAGCTGAGATGTTTCCACTCATCTCACACTCAAATCATCCAAAACAGAATTTACCTTTATGCTTCAAGCCCTGCGTCTGCACCTGTGTTTTCAGTTTCTGGCTTGGGGCACCATTATACACATTCCTGCTGAAGCCAGAAACCCAAGGTACAGCCAAAAGTCTTCTGTATTACTCCTTGCATCTGATGTGAGCAACCGTAGCAATTCTCTCTCCAAATATCCCTCATACGTGGTCTCTTCTCTACATTTCTATAGACATAGCTTCAGTTCTGACCTTTGTCATTTATCATCTGAACAAACACAATCCCTTCTAAAGGATTTCTCCACCTTCAGTCCTATTTTTCTTTATTCATTCAACAGGCACTTCATGATCATCACCTGGGTGCCAGACACAGGTGCAAGGTGCTGGGGATACATCAGTGAGCAGTCTCCTTCTCAGAGCTTATATTCTCGTGGTAGATGTAAATAAAAACATAAGTAGATGAACAAATAAAATATTAGTTGCTGTGAAGGAAATAAGAGTATTAAATTAGGATGACCTGTATTAGGGTGGGAGGACCTAGGCAGGCTCTCCTAGGAGGTGACATTTAAGCTGAAACCTAAAGAAAAACACCTAGCTACATAGAGAGTGGGGTGGAAAAGCGTTTCAAACAGAGGGAGCGTGCAGAACTGTTCATTCAAAATGTGTTGTGCATGCAATGACAAAGAGTAAGAAAAGTACTTGGCCTCTGTAAGAAATCAAAGACCACTGTAGTTGGCTAGAGTGCAGTGAGATGAGATGCAGGTGGGACAAAGTGAAATAAGAGATCTATGTTTTGGCCAAGCATGGAAAACATTAGAGGCCAGTCTTCCATGAACAGTGTGATAGATATTGCTGCATTCAAAATCAGATCACAACATGGCCCTTCTTAGATTTCTTGTCCCCATTACTGATGCAATAATATAAACATTTCTTGTGATGCTATTCATGATCTTCCTGGTCTGGATGCTGCTTGTGTTTCTTGCCTTCTACCTTAAAACAACCCACATTCATATATACAATCTATATACTCCAGCTGTGTCTTTTTTTTCTTTTTTTTTTTTTCGAGATAAGAGTCTTGCTCTGTTGCCCAGGCTGGAGTACAGTGGCGTGATCTCGGCAACCTCCACCTCCTACGCTCAAGCAATTCTCCCACCTCAGCCTCCCAAGTAGCTGGGATTACAAGTTTGTGCCACCACCATGCCTGGCTAATTTTTGTGTTTTTTGTAGAGATGGGGTTTCGCCATGTTGGCCAGGTTGGTCTCGAACTCCTGGGCTCAAGCAATCCACCTGCCTTGGCCTCCCGAAGTCAGGGATTACATGTCTGTTTTTCACGTTTTGTTTCATGCTCTTTCCTCAATTGGAAAAGCTCCATCTCTGTGTGATGACCACTATTTCATCCTCTCAGACTTAATCTTAACTTTTACAGGAAGAGTCAAGATACTGCTCTGTTATTTCATAGCCAATTCTACTATAATGTTGGGCTGCTTTACATCTCTCCCACCATCCTGGGTGTGCCTGAGGATGTTAGAGCCTGATCTTATGTGCTGTTGTAGTCATGACACCTGATGCGGAGCTGGCACTCTATACAGTTTTATGGAAGGAAAGAAGGCAGGCAAGCAGGCAGTTTTGTCCAAGTGCACTGGAATAGAATACATGGCATTCTGATCCTATCTAGTTTAAGATTAAGTCTGTATTTTTTAAAAATTGAATTAAATTCAACGAACACTTGAATATATGACTTTTATGCATGACACATTAGCCCAGTTATTTGCAAACAATGCTTAATCACCATAGAAATTCCTGGCAAAGAAATGCATAAAGGAATGAACACTAGCCCTGCTCCTTGTTACCTGTCAGATGTTAAGGTATAGAGAAGCAAAACTCTTCCTGAATGGAGAGTGTAGGCTGTGTTAAGGAGAGCACAGAGAAGTGCTCCTCTTACAAAAGAAGAAGAGAAGATTGCTCTTCAACAGCCAAACCAGTAAAAGCCACATGATCTATTTGTGGGAGACAATTGCAGACTGAAACACACAAAACTGTTATCAAGGTGACAAAGCTGCAATCTCAGAAAAATTGAAATGTCATTGCCATTTGGAAAATTGGAATGCCTGAAGCTATCCAGAAGGCCTGTAAGTACTTCTATTCCTATCAACTTAATGGTAGAGTTTTCCAAGAATCACGTACTGTATTTTGTCTCTAAACCTGTTTATGCCTGTTTCTTTGCATTCAAAAAGATATTTACCGTGTGCTTATTATGCATATGCCGAAACAGAGTGATGGAAATGACATTTTAATGGGGAAAATGGCAGGTAGAGGCAAATGATGTGGAGAAAACAATCAATAAATGTGACAATTTTTTTTGTTGTTGTTGTAAGAAGGAATACTCTCCTCTAAGTGAATATACTGGCTTGCTGGTTTATACATCAGCTTCTTGTGAGTTTGGAAAGTATGAGTTAATCCCTCTGGGCTTTGTGCATGGCTAAAGGTGAATATACGACCACAGGGCTGAAGAACACCCTCTGAATTGTCATTTCACCAGGGCTGGTCGGCTGTGAGATCTTGCCAGGCGGCCAGCTGGCCTCCTCCAGTCATATCTAACCATAGCCCCTCTCACATTAAAATAAACTTTTTAGGCCAACATCAGCACAGGGAGTCCTTTCACCAGGGTGACAACACAAGGCCAAGTACATTCCACACACAAATTCAGAATGAAATATAACTGATACAGCCTGGGCTCCTAATGACCTTCAGATGCCAGTGTCAGTCAATGACTCCAAAGGAAAACTAACCTCCAGTTATAGCGCCATATTCATCTGGAATGCATTACTAAACGAAGAAATGGAATGGAGATGATTTTTTAGAACTTAGGAGCCAACTTTGTGGTGGATCACAGAGGTGCTTGAGGAAGGAAAACGAACAATAAAGTTCCCACAAGGACTAGAAGTCTGTGATGCTACAGTCAACATTCGGACGCTGAAATGAAAGTTCACGTACGCTTCACAGAAGCATGTTCTTATCTAGAGTATAACATTGGAAAAGGTCTGGATCGACAAATATCTTTTCAAACTCACAGTAAACATTCAATCTAATAAGGCTAGAATGCCATGGGAAAGTTTACAGTCCTGAGCTGGTAACTGGACTATCACATGGCTGGAATGACTTCTATCCATGGGGAAATCTGACGCACTGCAGTAGGACATGCTTAAAACAAACGGAATATAGTCTAAGGTTATATGGACATTGTGAAAACTCACATCCACAGCGTTACACATCATGGTGATGAAATCAAGCACACTTGAGTTTCACCAGGCTCATGGAGACCACTGTCAAGACCGTTCTGTGATACCTGAAGAATCCCTAACTTCAATAACTGCTTCAAAACAGTCAGTCCTTTACCAAAAGACTATAAACTCCCCTGAAAACATTTGTTTTTGTTTTTCTTTTTTTCCCTCTGCTCTAACATCACATTCTTCTGATGTGAATTTTTCAGAAACTCAATTCTTCTGGAAGATCTAACTTGAGATTCTTCTAAAGTCCCTGAAGAATCCCATTCTAATTTCAATGACAGGCCTATTTAGCCACCCTCTGCCAAACTCACTGTATCTGAGGTTTCATATTCACACTTATGTATTCAGCTCTGTTAATGAGCTTAAATACGATACAGCTTATCTGAATGCTCTGTGATTATCATTTAAGATGTTTTAGTTTTTTGTGGAATTTTTAATTTTTGTAATGTAGCGAAATTTTAAGTCCCTAACAATGCTCCCTTGAATGGAAAAGTAGCAGGTGATGTGAAAGTAACTTAAGTGTCTTGTAGGTCAGGACCTATGGGTATTCTGCTGAGTAGCAAAGTCAAACAACTAAACAACATGAACTGAAACCTAAAGGGCCGTGTGGTGTCAGATGTTTCCACTGTGAAACTCATACTAAATTCTACTGAAACCATCTAAGAGATTGTATTATCACTCAGCAAATATAAGTGAAATGTCAATATAAAGATTTACATTTGCTGGGCATAGTGGCTCACGCCTGTAATCCCAGCACTTTGGGAGGCCAAGGCGGGTGGATGATCTGAGGTCAGGAGTTCGAGACCAGTCTGACCAACATGGAGAAGCCCCATCTCTACTTAAAAAATTAGCTGTATGTTATGGCGTATGCCTGTAATCCCAGGTACTTGGGAGGCTGAGGCAGGAGAATCACTTGAATCCGGGAGGCAGAGGTTGCGGTGAGCCGAGATCACGCCACTGCACTCCAGCCTGGGCAATAAGAGCAAAACTCCGTCTCAAAACAAACCAAACCAAAAACCAAAAAAACCCCCAAAGATTTACATTTAATTAATTAGTGAGAAAGGGGAGTATTGTTTTCATGCGAGACACAGATTTTGAAAAGGTATCATGTGTTCTGGTCTACTTTTCTAGATACTAATAAAAAATATGTGCACACAAAATCTCTTCTCTTTAAATGTCTTTTATCTAAAATTGAGCCAAAGATAACCAAATAGAAATAACAACATTTTGAAAACGAAAGGATGAAGAAACAATGACGTAACCAAATGAAGGAAAGTATTCCTCCCTAGAAGTATTCCAGCTAATAAAGAAGAAATGATGGAATTAGTACATCATTATTTTGAAAACTTCTATTGAAATAATAAATCCAGGCAAAGATAATAAGTGCTCACTAACATCACAGATAACTAAATATTATGCACTTCTTGATAGAAAACATAATAGCATCTATGATGTATTCTTCCACTCAGATTAAGTCTCTAGATCAGACAGTTTATAGAAAACAGGGGACAGGGGAACATGATAAATAAAAACATAGCAGCATCATCAGCAAAACCTAAAATGTGGGGAAGTCTACAAGACAAGTGACCTGGTTTCTTCAACAAGTAAATTACAAAAGGGGAAAAAATGGAGGGTAGAAACTTCTAGATTAAAATAAACTTGAGAGACACGTCAAAGGCAATGCATGGAATTTGTCTGGATCCTCATTTAAACTAACTATAAATGAATGGATGAATTAATGAGTATACAAACAACAGGGACATTAGAACCACTTATGTGATGATACTGAGTAACTACGATTAATGTCTTTGAAGGAAGGATAATGGCACTGGGTGGAGTATTGTTTGGAAAAGTACCCCTGGGCCGGGCGCAGTGGCTCATGCCTGTAATCTCAGTACTTTGGGAGGCCAAGGTGGGCAGATTGCATGAGCCCAGGAGTTTGAGACCAGCCTGGGCAACATGGCAAAACCCCACCTGTAAAACAAATAAATAAATAAAGTATCCTTATTTTTTAGCAATAGTACTAACATTTTTAACAGATGACTTATAAAGCATCTGAAATTTGCTTCATAACCTACTTGGTGAGAGGGGGGCATTTTCAGATAAAACAAGAGTGAGTTGATGGTTCTGTAGCTGAGTATTGGGTATATAGGATTCATTAGGGCATTCTAACTTTGTATGTGTTTGACATTCTTCAGAATGAAATGTTTTTTAAAAAATGGAAAAAGTAAAACAAAAGTGATAGAAAAGACTTACCCTGTTGGATATCCTTCATTTCTAAATGTAAACTAGATATCAAGATTCCCACAGTTTGAGATCGTTTTCCATCCAACAATTTGATGATCTAAAATTAGAAAAAAAAAAAAAAGAATACAAGCTCAAATGACCATGCAGTCTTTCAGGACGCACACCAAAAACATTAAATTTTTTTAGATACACTGATTGATGAACTAAATTGATGCTGCATGCACTCTTTAAATAATACTTAATTGGGAAGTAACTTATGCACAATTATAGACATCTTACACAATGACAGACGTTTTACAAAACAAACACACAAAATTCCATCAGCCTAATACAAACGCTAAATCTTTATATGTTACTGTGATCATTTTACTCAAGTACAAAGTTATACCAGCATCAAGATGTACAGAATGTGGTATCCATCTTTTTCACTTATCACTGGAATATTTTCATGTTGCTACTGGTGAAGTCACTTCATAGCCTCCAATCTTTTTAGTAATGTCATCTTCTGAGTGATTTAGGGGAAAAAGCATGAACAGCTGAGTCAGCCACCAGTGATATGGCCTTGGTAAAGTGATAACCTCTATGAATTGATTTCCTCATCATGAAGGGCTGACTATATTTAGTCTATATTTTATTTTGAGAGAAGGTCTAGCTCTGTCACCTAGGCTGGAGTGCAGTGGTGTGATCAGAGTTTGTCTCAGCCTTGACCTCCTGGGTTTAAGTGATTCTCCTGCCTCAGCCTTCAGAGTAGCTGGGATCACAGGCAGGCGCCACCACACCCAGCTAATTTTTAAATTTTTTTATAGAGACAAGGTCTCCATAAAAACTTCATTGCCCAGGCTGATCTGATCCCAAACCCTAAATTCAAGTGATTCTTCCATTTCAGCCTTCCAAAGTGCTGGGGTTACAGGCATTAGTCATTGCACCTGGCCTATACATTTATTTTAGAAATTAAATGACTATATGAAAAGCACTTAATATAGTTCTTGACATATATTTATTTAAAGATTTTCTGTTTCAGAGAGGTTACTTCCTATTTGTTATTATTAATATAAACAATATAATACCTTGCACACAAAGCTCTAGTTTTAAATTAATCAATTAATTTTTGAGATAGTATCCAGCGCCGTCACACAGGCTGGAGTAGAGTGACGCAATCACAGCTCACTGTAATTTTGAACTCCTGGGCTCAAGGGATCCTTGCACCCTCACGAGTAGCAAGCACTATAGGTGCAGGCCACCATGCTTGGCTAATTTTTATTTTTTTGATGTTTTGTAGAGGTGAGGTCTCACTATATTGCCAATGCTGCTCTTACACTCCTGGGCCCAAGCCATCCTCCCACCTTGGTCTCCCAAATTATTGGGATTATAGGTGTGAGCCACCACACTTGGCCTTAAAATTATTTTTTATAATACTATGTATTTTTACAATCTTCATAGAAACTCCACATACCTCATTGCCAGTTATTTCAACCTTTATGAATATTCCATGGAGAAGTCTACATAGTTTTGTGTTTCTCTACAACTAGTAAACCAAATCAGCTCCCTGGTAACATATCACGAAGCTGCCACTAAGGGAAAAAAACTCTCTTTCCTCTCATGTGGCAGGGCTACAAAAATAAAAGAGAAGCACCCACAAAACACAAATCTTACAAATGTTTTTAATGTGCTTTGCTGGTTAAAATACAAACTAGGCTGAACAGCTGTGCTTTCCTTCCCACCTAGGTACTTACAGAATTGCCAAACTACTGTGAAGACAAGACTAAACAGTAACAAACATCTACATTTGTATTATTACTGTAATAGCTGAGTTGCTTGCTGGTTGAAAAGTAAGGGACAACAATAGTTTGTTCCAATAAAGATGATCTAACTGCCTAATTGTCTAACTACCTGTTGATTAATCGATCTTGAATCAATTATTGCCAGATATTTTTTTCCTTTACCTGTTCAGAATGGCTACTTTCATATAACGATTAGACCTAAAAGATAGTAAATACTAAGTATTAATCAAGATGTAAAGGAAAAAAATCTCATTTTTCAGTCAATATGTTTAAGCATGTCAATATTCGCCTTAGAAAGATTCTTGAGGCATACAGAATTTTAGGAGTTTTAAACAGAAATAGAGAAGGTACTCAGTAATTTTTTATATGAAAGGAAAAGCAAAAAAAAAAGGCAATTAAGCATAATACAATATCTTCCTTAAAAATGCAATTTCTGGCTTTTTCTTAGAGAACCCAAATTTAAAGTCAAATGATTTCTTCATCTAATAAAAAAATTAAGAAAAGTCAATTTAGCCATGCACCCATTCAAAAAATATTTACTGTACACGTTACATGTGCCTGGCATTGCTTTGTATTCTGGGGATGCGGAGGTGACTGAGACAGATCAAGTCGTAAGAAGTTTGCTGTAGAGTCAAAAAGGCAAATAAAAGCATCACCTAAACTAACTGGAGTGCAAATTCAAAAAGAGAAACGTTTTGGGAATTGACTAGATTTATTCTTAAGTGTCCAGGATGGTGACTGATACAACCACAACCATGGCATACACATCAATGACAAGGACACAGGAACAGGATCAAATTTATGACAAGATCACAGCTGGGTTGCAAAAGTTTCTTCAAATGAACACGCACCAAGCTATCCAGTTAGGGCTCTGAAAACTACCAGTAATACTCTGCCTACAAGAAAGGTAATGTACAAATGCACATTTCTCTGTTAGCTAATTAAAAGAAAGCAGGAGAGAAATCACGAGAGAGTAAAAGAGCAAGAAAGATATTGATTCTGTCTGTCCCTGAGTAAAATGAGGCAAATCTACCCCTCACCCCATTATACAACCAGACTTAACTGTGGAAAGGATGTTATCACCATAAGCCATGCTTGGAATTTTGTCGAATGACTTGGCACAACCAGGTATTTGCTGAGTGTTACCTTTACTGGGACTAATGCCTTAAAACGTTTTTGTTTGGAAATCTGATGCTGATTTCCTACAAAGGGGCTGGGGGCAGCTAAGCAGTGGTGAAGTTGGAGCATTTTGTATTCTCTTCCCTACCTGAACCAAATTCTCTGTCTACTTTTAAGTAAATTTTCAAAAAGATCCTTCTATGTTTCCATGTAGCCACTCTTGTGAAATACCACCAGGTTTCTCAAAACCAACTACAATGGTAGGGACACAATGCGCACAGAATGATATGTCCTAAATCCTCTTAGTCTCTTCGTCTTTTTTTTCTCCCATGGCTTTGAAGGCTTAACACTAATTTCTCTTTATTTTTATGAAAAGTGCACAACATGAAATGTATCCTATTAACAAAAATTTAAATGTATAGTACATTATTAACCACAAGCACAATGTTATACAGCAGATTTCTAGAACTTTTTCACCTTGCGTAACAGAAATTTTATACCCACAGAATAGCAGATTTCCAATTCGCCGTTGTTCCAGCCCCTGGGAACCACCATTCTACTTTCCATTCCTTTGAGTTTGACCACCACGGATACCTCATATAAGTGGAATCATGCAGCATTTATCTTTTTGTGACTAGATTATTTTCACTTAGCATAATGTCCTCAGGCCAATCCATGTTGTAGCAAATGACAAGATTTCCTTTTTTTTTTTTTGTGGTCAAGTAATATTCCACTGTATGTACACACCACGTTTTCTTTACCCATTTGCCCATCAATGGACATTTAGGTTGTCTCCATCTCTTTGCTATTGTGAATGCTGCAACATGGGAATATCTTTTCAATACAGTGACTTCAATTCTTTTGGATAAATATCCAGAAGAAAGATTAATGGATCATATGGTAGTTCTATTTTTAAATTTTTTTTTTTTTTTTTTTTTTTTTTGAGCTGGAGTCTCGTTCTGTCATCTAGGCTGGAGTGCAGAGGCTTGATCTCGCCTCACTGCAAGCTCTGCCTCCCGGGTTCACACCATTCTCCTGCCTCAGCCTCCCAAGTAGCTGGGATTACAGGTGCCTGCCACCACGCCCGGCTAATTTTTTGCATTTTTAGTAGACGGGGTTTCACCGTGTTAGCCAGAATGGTCTCTATCTCCTGACCTCATGATCTGCTCGCCTTGGCCTCCCCAAATGCTGGGATTACAGGCGTGAGCCACCGTCCCTGGTCTATTTTTAAATTTTTAAAGAACTTCATACTGTTTTCCATAGTGACTACACCATTTTACATTTCCACCAACAGTGTACAAAGGTCCCACTTTGTCTACATCCTCAAAAAAACTTGGTATTTTTCAGTTTTTTTTTTTTTGACAGTGGCCATTCTGACACGTGTGAGGGGTTATCTCATTGTGATTTTGAATTGCATTTCCCTGGTGATTAGTGATGTTGAGCATCTTTTCCTTATACATATTGGCCATTTGTATACCTTTTTTGGAGAAATGTTTGGATAAGTCTTTAGCCCATTTTTATCAGACATATGGTTTGCAAATATTTTTTCCCATTCTGTAAGTTGTCTTTTTACTCCGTTGATTGTTTCCTTTGCTGAGCAGAAGCTTTTTCATTTAACATAGTCCCCTTTGTGCATCTGTTATTTTTGCTTTTTTTGGGGGGGGGCGGTCTATGCTTTTCATGCTATATCCAGGAAACAACTGCCAAAATCAATTTTAGAGGACTTTTCCCTATTTTTTAAAAAAGTTTTATAGTTTCAAGTCTCACATTTAAGTTTCTAATCTATTTTGAGTTGATTTTTGTATATGTTCCAAGATAAGGGTCCAATTTCATTCTTTTGTGTGTGGATAGCCAGTTCTCCTAGCACTATCTGTTGGAGAGACTATCCTTTCCACATTGTACAGTCTTGGCACCCTTGTCAAAGAACATTTGCCTGTATATGCTTGGGTTTATTTCTGGGTTCTCTATTCTGTTCTATTGGCCTATAATGTCTGTCTTTATGCCAGTACCATACTGTTTTGATTACTGCAGCTTGGCAATTTGTTTTGAATTCAGAAAGTGTGAGTTCCCTAGATTTGTTCTTTCTCATGGTGGTTTTGGCTACTCAGGGTCTTCTGTGGTTCCATACAAATTTTAGGATTGTTTTTTCCTATTTCTGCAAAGCAGCCACTGGGATTTTAAGAGGAACTGCACTGAATCTGTATGTTGCTTTGGGGGAATACAGACATTCAATAATATTAATTCTTTCAATCCATAAACATGAGATGTCTTTACAGTTATTTGTGTCTTCCTAAATTTTTTTAAGCAATGTTTTATAGTTTTCAAAACTAGTCTGTACTAGTCTTTTACCCTCTTCAGTTTATTCCTAAGTATTTCATTTTTTTGGATGTTACTTTAAATGAAATTGTTTTCTTAATTTCCCTTCCAGGTAGTTAATATTTTTGTGTTATAAGAACACAACGAATTTTTGTTTGTTGATTTGGAATCCTGTAAGTTTGCTGAATGTTTTTCATAGTTCTTCACAGTTTGCTTTTTTGGGGGAATCCTTAGGGTTTTCTACATATAAGATCATATCTGTGAACACAGATAATCTTACTATTTCATTTCCAACTTTGATGCCTTTTATTTCTCTCTCTTGATTAATGTCTCTATGACTTTCAGCACTATGTTGAATAAAGTAGCATGAATGAGCATCCTTGTCTTGTTGCTGATCTTAGTGGAAATGCTTTTGGTTTTTCAACCTTGATTATAATATTAGCTTTGAACTTTTAGCATATGGTCTTTATTTCTTTCTATTCCTTCTAAAGAATATTTCCTTCTTTAGGTAATTTCCTTCTATTCCCAGTTTGATGAGTTTTTATCAGAAAACAGTGTTGAGTTTTTTCAAATGCTTTTTCTGCATCTATCAAAATATTTTTATCATTTGTTCTTTTAATGTAATATATCATATTGATAAATATTCATATGTTGAACCTTCCTTGCATTTGAGAGATAATTGACACTTGGTGATGGTATATGATCCTTTTAATGTGCTATTAAATTATGTTTACTGGGCCAGGTGCAGTGGCTCATGCCTGTAATCCCAGCACTTTGGGAGGCCGAGGTAGGCGGATCACTTGAGGTCAGGAGTTAGAGACCAGCCTGGCCAACATGGTGAAACCCCGTCTCTACTAAAAATACAAAAAATTAGCTGTGCATGGAGGCACGTGCCTGGTAGTCCCAGCTACTTGGGAGGCTGAGGCAGGAAAATCACTTGAACCCGGGAGGCCAAGGTTGCAGTGAGCTGATATTGTGCCACTGCACTCCAGCCTAGGAAACAGAGTGAGACAATTAAGTTTACTAGTACTTTGTTGAGAATTTTAACATCTATATTTGTAAGAGCTAATGACCTGTAGTTTTCTTTTCTTGTAATGTCTTTGGCTTTGGTATCAGAGTAATGCTGTTCTCATAAAATGAATTTGGAAGGGTGACCTCTTCAATTTTTTGGAAGAGTTTGAGAAGCACTGCTTCCCTGTTAATTATTCTTTAAATGTTTGGTAGAATTCTCCACTGAAGCCATCTGGTTCTGGGCTTTTCTCTGGAGGTTTTTGATTTCTAATTCAATCTCCTTACTTGTTACAGGTCTGTTCAGATTTTCCACTTCATCATGATTCAGTCCTGCTAGGTTGTACATTTCTAGGAATTGATCTATTTCTCCTAGGTTATCCAATTTTTTGGCATGTAATTGTTCATAGTAGGTTCTTATAATCCTTCCAGTTCTGTGGCATCGGTTGTAATGTCTTCTCTCTCATTTTGTATATACTTGTGTTTTCTTTTTCTCCTTAATTTAGCTAATGATTTGTCCATTTTGTTTATCTTTTCAAAAAACCAACTCGGTTGTGTTGACTATTTTCCTATTGTTTTTCTATACTCTATTTTGCTTTTTTTCTGCTGAAATCCTTATTTCATTTCTTTTACTAACTTTGGGCTTAGTTTATCCTTCTTTTTCTAGTTCCATGAAGTGTAGAGTCAGGTTGTTTATTTGAAATCTTTTTAAACATAGGTGTTCACCCTAAAACCTTACTCTTAGTACTGCTTTTATTGCATCCCATATGTTTTGGTATGTTGTATTTTTGTTTCTGTTTGTCACAAGATATTTTCCAATTTCCCTTTTGGTTTCTTCTTTGACCCACTGGTTGTTCAAAAGTGTGCTGTTTAATTTCCCTGTATGTATAATGTTTCCAGTTTTCTTCCTGCTATTATTTCTAGTTTCATGCCATTGTGGTCAGAAAAGATACATGGTATAATTCCAATTTTTAAAAATTTGTTAAGGCTTGTTTTCTGACATAACGTGTGACTTATCCTGGAGAATGTGCACTTGAGAAGAATGTGTTTCAAAACCCAATTCCTGTTGGGTGGAATGGTCTATTTCCATTATGTCCATTTGGTATATAGTGTTGCTCAAGTCCTCTGTTTCCTTATTGTTTATCTATCTTGTTACATCATTTATCAAAAGTGGGTTATTGAAATCTCCCATTGCTGTGTTGCTGTGTATTTCTCCCTTTAGTTCTGTAAAAATTTGCTTCATATATTTGGCTTGTACGTTGGGTGCACATATAACTGTTATATCTTCCTGGTGAATTGACCCTTTTATCATTAAATAGTGTCCTTCTTTTTCTTTTGTTAGAGTTTTTGACTTAAATTCTAACTATGGCCACCCTGCTGTCTTTTGGATTGTTTTTAGTTTAGCTAAGGATGTCAGTTGTTGGTTTTTTTAAATTAACTCTTGGAATATCTTTTTCCATCCCTTTTCACTTTCAGCCTGTGTCCTTGAGTCTAAAATGACTATTATAGACAGCATATAGTTCCATCTTTTTTTATCCATTTAGCAATTTTATGTCTTTTGACTGAGAAATTTTCTCTATTTGCATTTAAAGTAATTACTGAGAGGCAAGAACTTATTATTGCTAATTTGTTCATTGTTTTGTAGCTTTTGTAGTTTTGTCTTTTTCTATATTGATGACTTTTGTGTTTTGTTTCTTACAGTGACTTGCTTTGATTCTTTTCTTTTTGTTGTTGTATCTCCTATAGGCATTTTCTTTGTTGTTACTATGAGACTTACATAAAACATTTTATAGGTATAATAATCTATTTTAAGCTAATTTCAATCACATATACAAATTCTACTCTTACTTCTCCACTCCCACACTTCATGTAATTGATATAACAAATTATATTTTTTCTATTGTGTATCCATTAACGTATTTTTATAATTATATTTGTTTTTAATATCTGGCAGACATAAATTCTATACCAGAGTTAAAAGTGATTTATCCGCATCATTATAGTATTCTGTATTTATCTGTATATATACCTTTATCTACAAGCTTTGCGCTTTCATATGCTTTTGTGTTGCTATGTCATGCCCTTTTCATTTCAACTTTAAAGGCTTTCCTGTATCATTTCTTGTAAGTCTAGTGGTCATGAACACCCTACACTTTTATTTATCTACGAACATCTATTTCTCTTTTGTTTCTGAAAGACAATTTTTTTCCTTTTTTTTTTTTTTTTTTGGGTGGGGAGGACTGAGTCTCACTCTGTCACCCAGGCTGGAGTGCAATGGCGCAATCTTGGCTCACTGCAACCTCCACCTCCCAGGTTCAAGCGATTCTCCTGCCTCAGCCTCCCAAGTAGCTGAGATTATAGGCGTCCCCTGCCATGCTGGGCTAATTTTTGTATTTTTAATATAGGTGGGGTTTCACCATGTGGGCCAGGCTGGTCTCAAACTCCTGACCTCAGGTGATCCACCCGCCTCGGCCTCTCAAAGGGCTAGAATTACAGGCATGAGCCACTGTATCTGGCCAAAAGACAATTTTTCTTTTTCTTTTTTTTTTTTTGAGACACAGTCTTGCTCTGTCGCCCAGACAGAGTGCAATGGCATGATCTCCACTCACTGCAACCTCTGCCTCCTGAGTTCAAGCGATTCTCCTCCCTCAGCCTCCTGAGTACCTGAGATTACAGGCACGCACCACCATGCCTGGCTAATTTTTTGTATTTTTAGTAGAGATGGGGTTTCACCATGTTGGGAAGGCTGGTCTCAAACTCCTGACCTTGTGAGTCACCTGCCTTACCCTTCCAAAGTGCTGGGATTACAGGCGTGAGCCACTGCACCCAGCCGATAGACAGTTTTTCTAGATATAGTTTTCTTACTTGGTAATTTTCTTTCATTGCTTTGAATATATTACCCTATATCCTTCTGGTCTGCAAGTTCATGCTGAGAAATCTTCTGATAGTCTTGTTGGGGTGCCCTTATATGAGTTGCTTTTCACCTCCTGCTTTCAAAATTCTCTTTTTTGTCTTTAACTTTTGACAGTTTGATTATAATGTGCTCAGTGTGGTCTTTTGAGTTCTTGTAATCGGGATCCATCGGGATTCTTCAATCTGAATGTTTATTTCTTCCGCCAGATATCTGACCATTATTTCTTCCAATATACTTTCCTCCCTTCCTACCTTCTCCTTCTGTAACTGTCACAATGTGTCTATTGATCTGCTTGACGGTGTTCCATACATCCCTTAGACTTTCTTTACTCTTTTTTTTTTTTGAGACGGAGTCTTGCTCTGTCACCCAGGCTGGAGTGCAATGGCGTGATCTTGGCTCACTGTAACCTCTGCCTCCCAGATTCAAGCGATTCGCCTGCCTCAGCCTGCTGAATAGCTGGGATTACAGGCGTGCGCCACCCCACACAGCTAATTTTTGTTCTTTTAGTAGAGATGAGGTTTCACCACGTTGGGCATGCTGGTCTTGAACTCCTGACCTCGTGATCTGCCCACCTCAGCCTCCCAAAGTGCTGGGATTACAGGCGTGAGCCACCGGCACCTAGCCTCCTCTTCGTTTTTTTCTTTTTGCTCCTCTAAATGGATCATTTCAAACGACCTCTCTTTATCTGATTCCTCCTTCTGCTTCATTAAGTCTGCTACTGAACCCCACTAGTGAGCTTTTAAATTTGGTTATTGTATTCTTTAGCCCCAATATTTGTTTGGTTCTTCATAATATTTTCTATTTCTTTGTTGATACTGTCATTTTGTTCATGTATCTTTTTCCTGAGCTCACTGAACATCTTTATGACATTTATTTTGAATTATTTGTCAAGTAATTCATATACATCTGTGTCTTTAGGATTGGTTTGATTTCTTTTGTTCCACTGGTTGGTCCATGCTCCCCTGTTTCTTTGTGTGCTTTGTTACTTTGTGTTGGGATGTGAAAAAGAAGTCACCATTCTCATTCTTTACAGACTGATTTCATACAGTGAAAGACCTTTGCCAATCAGCCCAGCTAGTGTCTCTGGGGGATTTTCAAGCCTTTTTCTGTGGATAAATATTCTCTGGACTTACGTATGTGAATTCCCAATTAGAGGGATTTTGGTTTTTCAGGAGCTCATAATCCCTGCTCTCTCTAGTGTCTGTCTATGGTACTGCAGTTTCTCTGGAGGTATAAGCTGTCCAGCTCCTTTTTGTTCTCATCTGCCCCCAAACATCTAGAGTATGTCAAGTCCCATGAACACACAGAGTCAAAGAAGGAAAAGGAGAAAGGAGAAAAGAGGAGGGGGAGTGGGAGGAAGAGGAGAAGGAGGAGGAGAAAGAAGGAAGGAAGGAGAAGAAAGAAGGAAAGGAAGGAAGGAGAAGAAGAAGAAAAGAAGATGGGTGAAGATGAAGAAGAGCAAGAGGAGGAGGAAGCAGAGGAAGAAGAAAAAACAGTTCCTTGGACAACACTGTGAAAAGGTGAAACACTAGACACAAGCTCCACTCTTCTTTCCCCTGCAGTCCATGTGGGAGAAGCTGCTGAGCTGTATTGGCCTCTGTCTACTGTACTGCAGGCCACCTAGCTTTTTGTTCTCAGCAGTCTCCAGGCATCTAGAGTATGCTGTGTCCCATCAGCACTCCAAGTCGGGCAAGACAGAAATCAGTCTCTTGGGCGGCCCTCTGAAAAGCCAGAGCATTGGACGGATGCTCCGACTTTTTCCTTCTCCAAGGAGAAGCCAGGATTTGGAGGTTTACTCTCACTTACTCTGCCCTGAGCAAGGGTGAGGGGCAATTGCACTGAATGCATACTAATTCATATCATCATCTTTCTTCTCAGTGGTTCCCAACCTGGCATCTTTCCCTGTTAGCTCTTAGATTCACACACAACAGAAACCAGTCTTCAAAGTACCTCCCCAAAAGTCTGAACATTAGACATAAGATCCAGTCTTCTCTCTCCCTCCCAAAGGAGAAGCCAGGAGGTAGTTTTCTCTAAATCAATGTATTGTGCCAGAAAGGGAGTCAGATGAGTGAGTGCCATGAATTTTCCTATTAGCTTCAATACAACTGGTTTCATGCTCACCTGGGGTTTAGGAGCCTCTTAACTGATTTCTGAATTTCTCACAAAGGGAACTGGCCCGTGTATTATTAAATTGGCATCTCCATGGGGCAACAAGGATCCGGTATTTTCTATTCCACCATCTTGATGACATTACCTCCCCCTTTCCCACTTTTAGTTTCTGAGAGGCAAATGCTATGTCATCCATGGATAGAGAGAGAAGACAAAAGTGGCTGGGTTCCACCAAATATGCTCCCAGTCACAAAGTGGCTCATATGGACATGTTGGTAGTGAGAGTAAGAGCAGACTGATCTGAGACTGAGTCAGGCTTCGCTGAAAGGGGGCTGGCCTCTCCTTCATAATTGGAGGACAGTACCAAACAAACTACAAGGAAAAGAATTAGAAATGAAGGAAGAGTAACGAGAAAAAGAGTAGAAGAAACATATATTTTAAAAGATCTTCCTTAAGATATGCAAAATAACTGAAAGGAAACAAATGGAGGACAATAACACATTAGACTTGTGAACACACATAGAAATGGTTCAGTACAACCCAAGACTTTGATATACACTTAGATCTTTCTGAGATTGGTTAGAAATTGGGCTAGCAGGGTGTGAGGAGAATGTATTGGAAGTAGACAGGAGGAAAAAAGAAACTTGAAGACTATAGGAGAGAAAAAGTATACATTTTGTTGCACTTTTTTTTTTCACTGTGTAGCGTGTTTTTTTCACGTAGAAACACATTACTGACAACTTCCTTGTCAGTGCAGGCAGAGCCATTTCTAAAAACATCACATCATTTAAGTATTCCCCTACTAAAGGACAATTAGAAATCATCCAAATTTTGGCCAGGCAAGCTGTGGCTCACACCTGTAATCCCAGCAACTTGAGAGGTCGAGGTGGGTGGATCACTTGAGGCCAGGAGTTCGGGACCAGCCTGGTCAACATGATGAAACCCCATCTCTACTAAAAATACAAAAATTAGGTGGGTGTGGTGGCACACTCCCGTAATCCCAGCTCCTCGGGAGGCTGAGGCATGAGAATTGCTTGAACCCAGGAGGTGGAAGTTGCAGTGAGCCAAGATCAAGCCACTGCTCGCCAGCCTGGGTGACAGAGCAAAGACTCTGTCTGAAGAAATGTTCCAAATTTTGTCAATTGTTAAGAATGCTACAACGAACAAGCAGGCAGAGAGATCCTTAGTCATGCAAGTTTGTATTTTCATAGGACTCATAGAAATCATTCAAATAATATGCCCATTTGAAAATTTGATAAATATTTCAGAATTGTTTCTTATTAGACTTACCCTGCCAAGTATTTGAGAGCAACTGTTTTTCTGTTCCCACACCCACTTTAGGTATTACCAATTTTAAAACTGTTGGCTGAAAAACAGGTGAAATGTGTTTTCATGATTTTATTTTGCATTTTTAATGATTTTTATTAGTCACATCTTATGAATTGTCTTTATATTGTTTTTGCTATATTTTCCAATTACTAGATCTACTAGGCTGGTACAATACAAATACACTTAAATAAGGGCTTAGCTAAATAAGACGAAAAAAGATTTACAAAGAGCCTGCTGTACATAAAAGTCATTTTCAAAGGGAAGAGGGAATAGAACGACCTGTTACTACATCTCCACTAAGCACTGGTATTGTGTTCCTCTGCACATTAGCCAATCCAAATGGACAGTTGTGCACTGGGGGCAGTGAGTATTGCAATACTGTAAACCTTTATTCCTTTAGTGGCCCCCTGTGGACTTTCCAGAGTGATAACAATACTTCAGGCTCAAGAGTCCTGTAAAGTATGTATAGCTATCTCACTGCTGGGGCATTAAAGCAAGAAGCACAGCTAACCGAATTTTTACGGTAATTCATTTTTTATGTTCATTATCAAATCTTACAACCTCCTTACCCAGATATATACCCATTACCGAAGAATTTATTGCAGAGTAGTGAGGAAGAAAATATTAAGGGGAAAAAAAGACAAGAGTGAAGAAAACTGATGAAGAGAACAAGAAAAAGTGATAACAAAGATGTGGAACATGACAAAGATTTTTTTTTTAATTTGTTATCAACCAATATTACTACTTCGCTTTCTGAATGCTTTTTTAGAATCATTGTTAAGTTTCAAATAACCAGAACGTAATTTATGTTGAACCATCTATTAACTGAAAATTTCCCTAGCTTTTCTTTTGTTGGATTATATTCATTATTAGTAAGCTAACTTTTAGACAGAAAAAGTGAATTTCAAAAATTCCCCTTGGAAGAGAAAAACTATATGAAGATAAACTAATATTGGGTATTTAGTCTCCCAAATCCATTGACATCTCTTATACTGTGCTTGAAAGAAATCAAATTCAACGAATCACACCTTCCATATCTATATATTTATTTACTGAACGCTGTGGACTGGTGATCATAGTGATAATCTGGGAAATTTTTAGAATCATAAATTGCCTGAAATTATCAGATACTTAATATTCTGCTCTTTTTATGGTAGGAAATTTAATATATATATTTACATAAGCACAGATTTCAAATACAAAAGTTATAAGAAACTGATAATTAACTCAAAAACCTAATTATTAAGCACCAACCCACTCCTTAAGCTTCTGTTTGCTATTAGCATTCTGTGCTATTTTGACAATTTTTCAGTTGTTTGGCCTAAGGAAGAGGTTCCCAACAATATCACAATCTAAGTAGAAATACAAAAACTGAGAACTATAGCCATAAACTACAACAGTCCTTCCCTCTAGTTTTCAACCTTTGCCTGCTGAGCTTTCATGAATGACCTCTTGGCCAGCTGTGGAATGGGATCAACATCATGATGTAGTAAACCAGTTATTCAGAGAAAAGTCAGGAGACCAGCCTTCAGCCTTCTATTTCTAGGCCTGCCCTTGCTCGTCATTGTATCAACGCTGAAAGGCAGACAGTCCAATTCAACGGTCCTCACAATACGCAAATTCCCATGTCTACTGCAAACAAAATAAAAATTGTGTGTGTGTGTGTGTGTGTGTGTGTGTGTGTGTGTGTGTCTGTTCAATGGAGTTCAAAGACTAGTTTAAAGAGGGCAAACATATATAAATAACGGATACAGGAGCTACTCATAAGATCAGTAACTTAAAAGAGTTTGTAATTATTCTCAGGTATACGATCCTTGAAAATGCCAAGACTCTTATTTAAAAAGGGAGTTTGAAAAAGGTGGCTGTTTCTAGCACAATCTTTATCCACGTAACTCAAACACATTCCCAAAAGAATGTTACATCCAGTGCCTTTTTTTCCGAAACAAAAATCCAGATCTCACTTTTATAAAACCTCTCCATCAGAGTCTTGAGAGATGATAGGCTCTGCAGAACATGAACCCCAAAAGACACTGTAACTCATGGTCTGGGTGTCCAAACAGAAAGGACTCTTACCATTCTTCATGGCCACTAGGGTAAAGGTTCTTCCGGGCATTAAGACCCAATAGCAGCAGAGGCTTTCACAAAACCATGAGGTCAGTTTATCACATTTGATTGTTAGACGTTAGTGGGATTCCTGACTGTATTAGCATCCAGCTTCATCATATTAAAAGGAGTTAGTTAGCTTGCCTTAGGTAAATAACAAAGGAAAGGTTCCCCAAAAGCCCCGGCCCACAGGTTAGTGCCTTATCCCCACGTAACATAAAAAGCAGCCTGCGAAAAAAATCAAGCTGCAGGAACCAATAATATGAATGTCAAAATAATTATTTTCCATGTTTACGTGAAGCCAGTAGATAGAATTTATGCTTTAAGCTCCCAACTTGATTTTATTCCATGTAGGTTCTTGGGGGGAAAAGTGGCTACTACAGGCTGTTCAGGAAAGATAGTTCAGAAAACATTTACTGGAGAGTGTAAGTATTTGTAAGATTTTGCTTATCCAATGTTACTCTGGTTGAATTGGATTTTGGAGTCATTTAACACTTAGCACTGAAGAAACCTACAAATTTCATCTAATTTATCCCTCTGCCTTTGGGTTGGCCCAGAAGTCCACGTATGTAAGTATAGACCTTACTTTACAAGAATGTGCACACTTCATTATAAAGGTTACATTTAGATAATGCACACATTTATAGCCATTTTCTCTCAAACAATACAACAGAGCACTACTTCAGCTAATTGTAAATACAAATTAAACTGTTCATTCCACTCCTAGTCTATGATCCCTTATCATACTCACTTTTCATTCTTCTTTGTCCTCATATGCATATTACCTGATGTGTAATAATCCTCCAAGTCATTTTCTAGTATTAAGAGACTTTTGGCAGTGAACTATTTTACCTGATGTTTGGCTCAAATTCCTCATGCTCCCATTTTGAACCATCTTTTTCTGCTCTCAGGGAAGGTAGGAAACAGCTGGTCACCATCCCCTACACTAAGCTCCTTCAGAAACCTCAAGATCACCATTTTTTTTTAAACAAGAGATGTTTTATATCAGATTGTTAAAAATCAGTTTTTGAGGGACGTTAGCAAGCCCTCACTTTATCTCCGCCCTATCTAGAGTCAGCTGAACTTGGCAGCACATGGCTTTCTCCTAGGTATAATTACAGTCTGGAGGAGAATGCAATTTGTGCAGCATTCCACTGACCTACAAGCTGACCTTGTGCAGGGGCAAATTCACAGGTTGCGTTAAACCCTATTAGACATGCCTAGTTTAAGGCAAAGCCTTTCCAGACCCCTGCCACATGCCAGGATTAGGGCATGTCACACGTGCGTACTATTACATCGCCTAAGGGACTCTCCCAATGCCTTCCAGAGTGGGAAAGGCAGGCCCACACTGTCTAAACCTGTACATTAAGCCAGTATAGACAAATTATTATTATTCCTCACATATGTGAATTTTTTTAAAGCCTGCCTCTGTGAATAAGAATTAAGACAAAAATGGGAAGACAGATTTGCTACACTGGGAAAATCATACCTTCAACCTCAGCTAGAAAAGTTCTGCCAGACAGGCTGAGAAAGAATTCTTGTCAGGTCCAGTGGGATTTTTACATCTACAGAAAATCTGTACACTGTATATCTTCGGCTTTCTGCCTGAGCTTGGCAGACAGGGCCAAAAATAAAAATAAATGGTTCTGAATAGACCACAAGTGCTGGAAGTCTGCTCAGCCAAGTGAGTTTGGCATAGCTACAAAATTAAGAGAAACACAGAAGCCCTCTTCTTCCATGGAGCCTTCCCTGTCTGAAAGGAAGATGATTAATTTCTACATCTACACCTTTGCTAGACACCAAACACATTCATACCTATACCAGATCGAGTGCATATTTTGCTCTTTGGCTTAAGTTTCACATTTGAACATACTCAGTTCCAGTCACAGGGTTTCCATCTCCAGCACAGTCAGTTTTATCCTAGAGCCTGGCAAATAAGCAGAGAGTTTTTTCAAATACAGCCACATGTGCTATCACCAATGAATAGCTGCTGGCACTTCAGGGAACTAAGGGCATGTGAAAGTTGCTGCTTTTCCTGTCTGAATCAACTATTTCACCCCACCAAAAACAAACAAATAAATGTAGAAACCATATATATATGAGTAGACATTTACTTTCATGACAATGATATACAGGTCGAGCATCCCAAATTCAAAACTCAAGAACTCCAAAATACGAAGTATTTCAAAATCCAGAACTTTTTCAGCGCTGGTACAGTGCTCAAGGAAAATGCTCAGTGGGGTATTTCAGGTCTTGGATTTTCAGATTTGGAATGCTCAACTGGAAAATTTGAAATCTGAAACGTTTCTGGTCTCAACCATTTCAGATAAGGGATACTCGACCTGTATACCAAATATCCACATAGGGTACACGGTCAGCTATATAGAACAAGTGTGTAAATGATCTGGCCTTTCTTGGTAAGATTGAACAACAGCGTGGAGAATTCACATAAATTAGACAATCTGATTCTCCCAAGTACAATTCTAAAAAATACAACTTCTATTTTTGTGCCATCAAACTAGTGTTATCTCTTGCTTATGCTTCACATCAATACTCGCTGAATTCCACCACCTGGCCAAACTATGGACATTAAGAGGCTGGTTGGTAAAAAGTAGATATGCTACTGATGACAAGTCAGCTTGTCTTAGTAACAGTCATCCCACTTCTAAGTCATGGGCTTCCAAATAGATAAAGGTACCTTCATAATGACTGTTATGTTTCTCTTTAAGACATTCTTGTGGAGTGGGTTGGAAGACACGTAGAATCCTATGTTAGAGATGCAGAAATTGTTTCACTTATTCAAGGGCTACAGGCTCTGATGATTGCACTGATACTTTAGTTTGAATACCTCCAAATTATAAATTAGTATAGGGTCTAAACTTTAGCTGCATTAGAGAGCAGTATCTTTGTGAGATGAGAGAGAATATTAAGAAGGCCTTAGGTTTAATTTTTATTCTCATTTAACTGCCATCCAAATCAAAAAATCTTCTAAGTAATAGACATCTAATTGGGAAAACAGAGTGAGAGTTTCGCAATGGAAAGAAATTCCAAGAAGTGATGCAAAACGATGCAAGGCAATGAGGTATGGTAGCCTATGGATACAGGCCTTATGCACAGAAAAAAATCATGGGGGAACCAACTGGCAGAATCCTTTTATAGCTGTGGCTATTCTAGTCCCCTCCCTACGATTTCTAATATGGCAGTGACTACAAATGGGACAGGTAAGCAATGATTCCTCCCAGCCAGTGCCAGAAGGGAGTGCCTGGGGAAGGGGAAGGGCAGGACCACAGCCATCTTGCTTTCTCTCTTACGGGAGAATAACCGCTTCTTTGGAAATATGCAATTGTTACTTGGCAGGTGCCCAGGAGTACAATGCTGATTCAGTTTCCTTGGTCCCCTTCTTCTTCCCTGCTCCATCCCCTGCCACTCTGCCATCACACCCAGAAGAGCTGGTTGGCTGGCTGTGTAGTGCCATATTATGCAATGTCATCCGACGTGGTGCAAAACAGCTCTTGCTGCTAATGGCCAGTATGGCCTGGTAGGCCTCTGGGAAGAAGCCTCTGTCAACTGGCCTGATAATGACATTAAAATAAGCTTTCCACATACAGCTGATAATCTGTCTCATTAAATGTTTCAAGGAAAACTAAGCTTCACTGTTTAGTCAAACTGTTAGGTCTGAATCTCTTCCATGGCCTTATTTTTGGGGACACATAAAATTGCTTGGATGAAGTTTACTTTAAGGATCTAGGCTCTTCACCAAGAAATGTGAAAAGGCAAATTGTCACCCTGTCTTGAGTCTGAGAACGTATTTGGCACCCCATCCCCATCCTGACGAGACAGAAAAACCCTTTTCTTGTTTTTCAGGCTGATGAATTCCACTCAGAAGGCTAATGCGGAGGCCACAGCAGGTGAAGGCTATGACAGTGTGGGGGTGTGATGGGTTGGAGGGGGGAGGGTAGGGCTGTGGGCAGATTTCTGATTTTGTGTAATGTAGAAGACAAACCCCCAAACAAAATCACATGCTTTTTCCTATTGATCATGGAGTCTTGCGGGAAGAAAAGACCAAGAGACATCAGTGCATTCACTGCCTTCAGACAGAACCAGAGCTACCAAAGCTTGGCCCTGCGAACAGCTTTGATTTTAGACTTCTAGACTCTAGAATTATGAGACAATAAATTTTTGTTGTTTCAAGTCAACAGTTGGTGACAGTTTGTTAAATTAGCCCTAGGAAACTAATACAGGGGCTGATATTTTTATATTTCTAATAATCTTCTAGGTGATTATGTTGCTGCTGGTCCATGGACATTTTGAGGGGTGAAGTGACTCTAAATAAATGTATTATTTTGTTACTGATCATTGGCACTTAGCACGGTGCCAATACATAGATATATGTATGTTTCTATAATCCCTGATTTCCAGAGGTTTTTCCCATGAGCCCCTTTCAGAATATCAATCTCCACGGAGTCCTTTACTAAAGCTATTGTACTCATTTAGGAAGTATTGGAAGTAACTTTCTCATAGAAAGCCAATCCCAAGTATACAGACAGCCATAGTGCCCTCCTAAAACCTCTAAATAACAAAGTTTGCATGACCTTTGGACTTCCTGTCTTGTCTATATAATTTCTCATCTAATAATAAAAACTTCAACCCAGTCTCACACACGTATATCTTTGGTGGCTTAAATAGGGCTTTTTCTTTCCAACATGTTAGAGTGTTAGGCTTTTGGAAAGAACACATGCTAATAATTACGCCAAGCTGGTTAGAGATAATGGGCAACAGAAAAGTTATTATCTTCAATGTCATCATATGTCTTTGATATGATAATCATTGCATTCAAGATATCAGAAATGATGGATGGCCTTTGATTTAGAGGGTATCCACGATGCAAATTACCTGGCTCTTTCCCACTCCTGTGTAGAGGTGAAGAGCCAGCAAGAGTGAGCACCCCTAGCTGCAGTGCCTCAAGCCACTGGAAGGCAAAATCTGAGACAGAACTCCAAGGGAAACACTTCTTCCTTTAAAGATACTTAGGGCACCTCACATTTTCCTTTTGCAGACAACTTCTCGCATAGTCTTCATTTGCCGCCATTGCCATAATGTACACTACTTACAACCCAAGTCACTCCACTCTGTTAATTTTCTGGCTAACAGCTGCTGATATGTAAGTGCCATATTGCTTCCAACAGGTTCACTGAGTTCCTTCCATGAATATAAAATAAATATTCCACGAAATGTTGGTAAAAAGAGAAAGATGAAATATTACTGTATTTTAGTAGATATTTTAGAACTGCTGCAAGATTTTGTTAGGGTTTGCGGTGTTATGTCCCAGCACATTTCCCCCGTAATTAGTCTTATCCTCCTTCTTACTCTCATAGCACAGCTATCACGGGAAGCAAGTGCGTATCATACACTATCATTCAGGCTTTCAGGTGAATGGCATAACATAGTGACTGAAAAAACCTACCCACTGCCATCCATGAAGAGTGAGCGTCTACACCCATCTTGACTGGAACCATGAGCATATGCACCCAGAGGTTCTCTTAGATCAACAAGGGTGTAACACACATGGTAGATGATTTGCCCAGAGATGCCTAGATGCCTGACTTCTAGTCCTGTGGCCTCTCCCTTGAAATAATTATTCCAGCAAAGATGTACATTCCTAATTAGTCATATTGCAACAAGGGAATAGCCTTTAAGATATGAGAATCAAATTCACTTGGAATTTGGGGTGGTAAAGGCCTTTCGACTTCCTCTTCTCCTAAAAAATTAGCCCAAAATTATGAGACCTAATGATTTGAAAAATAAAATCTATCTTCCATAAAACTAGGGGAGCCCTTTAAGTTTTAAAACAGAAAATGTGAAGTTGGAGGACTGGTAAATTCCTAGGTATAGCTGTGGGAGGTAGAATGCCAGACATACACGAGTAAGAGGCATCCTGCGTTGGTGGAGACAGGAATGGTTAAGAAGCTAAATAGAAATGAATTGTTTCAAAGTCTGCATATGGAGCAACTAGGTGCATGATCTGTAATTCCATCTACTACAATCAGGTAGCATAGTTTCTTTTTATTACTGATTGGTAAGAATTC